>NC_000005.10:163943142-164246172 GCF_000001405.40 Homo sapiens | reverse complement strand
CAGATTGAAACCACATAGACAAAAAAGATGTCCCATTGAGGTGATGCCTGAGCTGAATCTTAAAGGATGGCTGTAATGTGCAAGTTAAATGTTAGTAGTACTGTTTTAAAAACAATAAAAAGGAGGACCAGTGCAGTGGCTGACGCCTATAATCCCAGCACTTTGGGAGGCCAAGGTGGGTAGATCACTTGAAGTCAGGAGATAGAGACCAGCCAGGGCAACAGGGCGAAACCCCGTTTCCACTGAAAATACAAAATTAGCCAGGCATGGTGGCATGCTTCTGTAATCCCAGCTACACGGAAGGCTGAGGCAGGAGAATTGCTCAAACCTGGGAGGTGGAGGTTGCAGTGAGCCAAGATTGCACCACTACGCTCCAGCCTAGGTGACAGAGTGATACTCCATCTCAAAAAGTAAATAAATAAACAAGAAATAAAAACAAAAATAACAATAAAAAAGAAAAGAAAAGAAATAAAAAGCCCAGCTGTGTCGTTCAGACACACAAAACAATTCTGTTCCTGCTTTGAGGTTAGGTGTGGCCATGGACCTGCTCTGGTCAGTGAAATGTAAATGACGTTGATGTGTGTGTACCAATTCCAGACAATGATATTAGGAACCAGTGAGTGATTCATTATATACTCGTGCAGTATTGATGAGACTGTAGGAACACAGATTTGAACATAGTTCCATCTGCCTGGGCACCTGAGAGGATATGATGACTAGAAACACTGACTGGTCAAGTTGAATGTGTAACACTTCTTGTGTTAAGCTACTGTGATTTATAGAAAGGCCAGGGGGTAGGCTTGGGAGGTGAGATGTTGGTATCTGAGGCAGAGGTTAAAATATGTTCAAAAGAGGTAACTTGATAATGGGGAATATGTTGAAGTGTAGCAGGAGAAGATGCTGGATAGGTTGGTAAGGGCAAGATCATAGAGAACATTTTATGCCTTACCAAGGAGTCTTGAACTGCTGACATATTTTAAGCAGGGGAGTGGCATAATCAGTTTTATATTTTTAGCAAAATGATTCTGGCAACACAGCAGGAGGTTAATTGAAAGGACAAGCTGTGAGTCAAGGATGCTGCTACAATCCAAGCAAAAATGATGATCTTTTGAACTAAGATGTGAAGACAATAAATAAAGGATAGGTGAAATAGACAAGACAGTGTGATGATTGTAAGCATGGAGAGAGTCTAGAAAATGAAGGTACCCAGGGTGATTTTCAGGTTTCTGGATTAGGTGATTGGGAAAAAAAGCATTGCTCTTCACAGATGTTGTGAATAGATTAAGATAACTAGTTTATAGAAAAGATGGTGAGCTTAAATGTGTATTTGAGAAGACTGTAGACATCCAGGGAAGATAAAGTAGATGGATATACAGACCTGCAGCTCATAATATGGGCTAAAGGTAGGTAACATTTGGGAATCTATTGATTGAAAGTGATCATTAGAACTGTGGACAAAGATGACATCTTCCAGCAAGGAGGAGAAAGTTGTTCAAGGGTGGAAACCTGGGGTCAGTACATCAGCATTTTGGGAGGGTTGGGGAGCAGAATATGGATGCGACAATCAATTACAACATCAGTGTTTGATGTTTGATTGGTTTTAGCCAAATAAACCCTTTATTGAAACATCCATAAAATGATAAAATTCTAGTTTTAAAGGCAACAGAATCACATGCAATAGAAAATAGAAGTGAAGGAAAAATACATTTGAGTCATACTTTAAATTACATTTTCTCTTTTTATTATTAATTAATTGTATAAAAATTTATTTTGAAACGATGTATTAGCTAACATGCTAAGTTCTAGCTGCAGATTAGTGAGGTGAATAAAATAAACATGATTGTCATTTCTACTCAGTAAATATCTAGGTGGGTGCATTATGGGTAGAAAAGAGACGATAAAGTCACAGATCATACAAATAAATAGACATCTGTAGTATTCTAGGGAAGGTCATCTCAAGGAGACTCACAAGTTTTATCTATGATTGAGGTGTGTTCTCTGTTCTACTCTTGAGTACGCCCTTTTATCCGTGGTAGTACCTTGGAATAGGGAGAGCCATCCCACAAATAGGCTACTCCACACAGCCTGCTTGGGATGTTCCATTCCCAAACTAACACAGGTTGTCAAGGAAATAATTTTTTGCCATTATGCATGTGCATTAGGCTTTCGAGTCATTGCAGTGGGTTGAGCCAGTACAACAATGCACGTATCCAACTAGGTTGCTTGTTATCAGTGCTGACTTTGACCAAATCACCAAGAGAAATTTTTCTATGACAAAAACAATTTTTGTTCTCAAATCTACTTATTACATGTGCATTACTAAAATTCTGTTCTTTGTAAACTTATTTTATTGAACCTTCTGTGGTACAATTCCCTCCCAAACCAAATTCTTCCACAAATCTTTCTCCAAAGTAGAGCTAGCTAAAAGAAAAGGAGTTACTAAGAACTTTATTGCAAGTGCTTATTTGCTGTTTTATTATCACTTAATAGTATGACTTAACAGTGGAGCCCCTGTTGCCAAGAGAACCTGGGGTGACACATGCACTGTTTTGGCCTTTACTTAAAACAACACTATTAGATAACAGTTTTGCTGTATTTATGGCACCCCCAATTCTCATTCCTGAAGATAAAAGAATGCCAAATATTCCATTCATATTATGTCTTCCAATAGTATATACAATTCTATAGTTTTCTTCTCTCTATATTGTCGATATTTTCAAAGATCTTCTTGATTAATGCTGATGTTTCTCCCCCAATTTTAAGCTCTTCTACTCTTTCAATAAAAAGATTTTTTTTCTGCTCCGGGCTAATCATGCAAATCAGCACTTAATTAGGGGTTAGAAATATCATAGGTAGGCATGGACATATATACGTTTGAAAAATATTTATCAATTGAGTTACTCTACATAGGTTATTTCTTTGGGGAAGTTGCTAATAATTGTGTTGAACATGTTTTGAGTTTTGATCATTCATCATCACTCCTTGATCACAGCCTTGATCTGGGGATTTTTAGTGGGGATTACCTTGCTACTGCTCTGTATAGTCCTGAAGGCACTGCACCTCAGGATAATATTACAGCAAAGTGCTTTCTTTATGTGCCTAATGTCAGTTGAAATATCTTCTTCCATTGCCTGATGCTAGATGAAAAGGGCATGTTCTGCTCATTCTTCACAACTACTTAAAAAATAGCTTTATTGAGGCCAGGCGCAATGGCTCACGCCTGTATTCCCAACACATTGGGAGGCTGAGGGGGGCAGATCACAAGGTCAGGAGTTCGAGACCATCCTGGCTAACATGGTGAAACCCCATCTCTACCAAAAATACAAAAAAAAAAAAAAAATTAGCCAGGCATGGTGGCACATGCCTGTAGTCCCAACTACTAGGGAGGCTGAGGCGGGAGAATGGCGTGAACTCAGGAGGTGGAGCTTGCAGTGAGCCGAGATCATGCCACTGCACTCCAGCCTGGGTGACAGAGCGAGACTCTGTCTCAAAAACAAAACAAAATAAAATACCTTCATTGATACATGATTTACTTACCATAAAATGCAACTTTAAGTGTACAAATCAGTGTTTTTTAGTAGAATCATAGAGTTTTGCAACTATCATCACTATCTAATTTTAGAACATATTCATCTTGTCTAAAAAACACACCTCACAAACCCATTCGTGAGTTGTTACTTCCCATTCCCTCCTTCCCCCTGGTCCCTGGCCATCACTAATTTACTTTCTGTCACTATGCATTTGCCTATTATGGACATTTCATGCTATATATGATGTTTTACGACTGGCTTCTTTCACTGAATATAATGTCTTCAAGTTTCCTTCATTTTACACGTCATTATTGTATTCCTTTCATTCATGAACAACATTCTACTCTATGGATACTATATTTTGTTGATCTATTCATCACTTGATGGACATTTAGATTATTTTTACATTTTGGATATAGTGAATAATACTGCTATAACATTTATGTATAAGTTTTTTTGTGTGGACATATGTTTTCATCTCTCATTGTCATATACTGAAGAATGGAATTCCTGGATTATATAACTCTATGCTTAAACTTTTGAGGAACTGCCACACTGTTTTCCAAAGTGGCTGCACCACTTCACAGTCTAACCAGCAATGTATGAGGGCTCCAATTTCTCCACAAAGTTGCCAATGCTTTTCATCTTTTTTATTATAGTTATGCCGGTGGGTATAAAGTGGTATCTCATTGAGGTTTTGACTTGCATTTCCTTGATGGCTAGTAATTAGCCTATTTTCATTTATGTAATGGCTATTTGCATATCTTCTTTGGAAAAATGTCTATTCAAATCATTTGCCTTTTTAAAAATGGGGTTATTTGTCTTTTAATCGGAAGTATTCTTCACGTATTCTGAATACAGGTCCCCGATAAAATACAGGATTTTATACCATTGCATAGGTTATCTTTTAACTTTCTTAATAAAAAAGCTCATCTTATTTTTTTCTTTTTTGCTTATACTTTTAGTGTCATATCTGAGAAGCGTGGCCTCTGTGGTCACAGAAGTTTATTCCTTTGTTTTCTTGTGTCTATGGTGTAAGGCAGGAGTCCAACTTTATTCTTTTGTATGGAAATATTTCTCCCTTTAATTCTGTCAGATTTTTGCTTTGCTTAATTTGAATCTCTGTTGTTAGGTGCACATAAATTTATAATTGTTAGTCTTTTTAATGCATTTTTATCATTATAAAATGTCATTTTTTGTCTCTAGTAGCAAGAATTGCTTTAAAGTCTATTTTGTCTAATATTAGTATAGTCATTCCAGTTCTCTTTTGATTATTATTTGCATAAAATATTGTTCCCCATCTTTTTACTTTCAATCTATTTGTGGCTTTGATTGCAAAATGTGTCTTTTGTGGAAAGCATGTAATTTGATTATGTTTTGTTGTTGTTATATGTTTTTGCGCTCTCTGCCTTTTGATTGGAGTATGTAACTATTACGCTTAATGTTATGACTGATATGGTAGAACTTATATTTACCTTTTTCTAGTTGATTTCTAAATGCCATGCCTTTTTTGTTTGTCTATTTCTCCACATTGTCTTCTTTTGTGTGAAATAGATATATTTTAGTGTAGTGTTTTAATTACTTTTTAATTTACTATACTGTATTTTTAAAGTTATATTCTACTTAGTGTTTGCTCTGGGAATTAAAGGTAATGTCTTGTTTGGATTGATACCAACTAAATTCCAATAGTAAAGAAAACTCTGCTCCAAAATATCTTCTGTTCCTTTGTGCTATTACTATACAAATTAAAATTTATGTATTTTAAGTGCAACACAGTTTTACTGATATAATTTTATGCTATTATATTCTAGATAAGAGAAGAAAAGTTACAGACAAATACATTTAAACTGGTTTGACGTTATAAATATGCAATGACCTTTCCTACATTTTAAAATGTATAGATTTAAGTTACTGTCTACTGTTATTTCATTTTAGCCTAAAGCATTCTCTTTTGTATTTCTTGTACAGCAGACCTGCCAATGGCAGTGTTTTTGATTTATTTTTATAGACATTGTCTTACTTCGTCATCCAAGCTGCAGTGCATTGGCACTATCATGACTTGAACTCCTGGGCACAAACAAGTGTCCAACCCTAGCCTCCAGAATATGTGTCATCACACTCCTAAATTTTATTTTTTAAATTTTTTTGTAGATTCAAGGTCTCATTATATTATTTAGCTGGTCTTGAACTCCTGGCCTCAAGTGATCCTCCCACCTTAGCCTCCCAAAGTGCTGGGATTACAGGCATGAGCCACTGTGCCTGGCCAGTATTTTTTTTTTTTTATCTTGTAGAATGTTAATTCTTTCTTCATTCTGTAAGTAGAGTTTTGCTGAAAATATAATTCTTAGTTGACATTACTTTTCTTTCAGCACTTTGAATATGTCATCCCACTGCCTTTTGGTCTCCATTTATTAAATGATAAATTAAATCTTAATCTTCCTGAGAATCCCTTGAATATAGGGGTCACTTTTATCTTGTTTTCAAGATGCTCTCTTTGTCTTTTACTTTCAGTAGTTTGATTTGGTGTATGTAAGTGTGGATCTCTTTGAGTTTATCTTACTTCAAGTTTGGTGAAGTTTTTGGATATGTAGATTAATCTTTTTATTCAGTTTGGGAAGCTTCAGTGAATTATTTCTTCAAATATTTTTCTGATCCTTGCTCTCCTCTCCTTCTGGGATTTCTGTTATGTATATGTTGGTATGTCTGATAGTGTTCCATAAGTCTCTGAGGATCTATTACTTTTTTTTATTCTTTTCTAGTCCCATTCCTCATATTGGATAATTTCAATTGACCTAACTTTGATTTGGTGATTCTTCTGTTGCTAAAATCTTGTGTTAAGACTCTCTAGTAAATGTTTTATTTTAGTTATTATACTTTTCAATTATATAATTCTCATTTTAAAAAACATTTTATATCTTTCTTTTTTTTGAAATGGAGTTTCACTCTTGTCGCCCAGGCTGGAGTACAGTGGCGTGATCTCGGCTCACTGCAACTCCCGCCTCCTGGGTTCAAGCAATTATCCTCCCTCAGCCTCCCGAGTAGCTGGGATTATAGGTCCCTGCCACCACACCTGGCTATTTTTTTTATTTTTACTAGAGATGAGATTTCACAATGTTGGCCAGGCTGGTCTGGAACTCCTGACCTCAGGTGATCTGCCCACCTCAGCCTCCCAAAGTACTAGGATTACAGGCATGAGCCACCGCACCCAGCCCTTTTAGTTCGTTTTAATATTCTTCATTTGGTGAAATAACATTGCAATACCTTATTTACTTATATAAGGTTTTCTTTAGTTCTTTGCATATATTTATAATAGCTTATTTAAAGTTTTCGTGTATTAAATTCACTATCTGGACTTTCACGGGGATTGTTTCTGTTGACCTTTTTTCCCTGTATTTAGATTGTATGTTCCTCTTTCTTTGATAATCTTTTGTTAAAAACTGGACATTTTAAATATTAGTGTTTCAACTCCCCTCATCCCTCCTCCAAGGGCTTATTGTTGTTGCTGCTGCTACTGCTTAGTTGTTTTGTGATTTTTATTAAGTAATTTTATAATGTTTGTATTCGCGTGTGGCCACTGAAGTCTCTGATCAGGTAGCTTTGTGGTCAGCTAGTAATTAGACAGAGATTTCTTTAAATGCTTGAACCAACTGTCTCCCATTATTTGCTGAGGAGCTCTGTGTATGTAGGTTGCATCACACTTTCAATGTTCCAGGAGTTTACAACTCTATCTTAGCCTTTGCCTCCCGTTTATGCAGAATTCAAGGTCAGTAAGTGGTGCAATATTAAGATCTTAAGAGGTCTTTCCTGAGCAAACACTCAGCTGTGCACATGTGTCTGGCGTTCTATATCACAGCCCCCCTCCCCAAAATGGAGATTTGCAAAGTCCTTTATGAACATCTTAATTCCTAGAGTTTTATTTTATGTATTTTGGATGACCTTGTATTTATCCAAACTTGTATCACAACCTCAGGCAGTTGCAATACTAAGCAATTGCTACTAATTGTTTTTCAGTGATGCCCTGAAGTTGGGATTTTCTCACTGTTAGGTCAAAAAAAGACAAGTCCTTTGAATGAGGTTTTCAATGAAATTACTTCCAGGAAGATCAAAGGATTGTTAATATATGGAGGTGAGATTTGGGGGCGGGGGGGGGGGGTGACTCTAAAGCCATTCTGTTAGCTCCAGTGGCTTCCAGAAGACTTTTTTTTTTTTTTTTTTTTTTTTTTAACAGCTAGTTTGGTTGCAAGGCTGCTAGTTTTCAAAGCTACCACAGAGCTATGGCAAGAATTATGTGAATACAGTTAGTTAAAATGCCAAGAGTTTACGGTTTTGTTGTCGTTGTCTTGTTTGTTTTGTTTTGTTCTTTTTTTTTGAGACAGAGTCTCACTCTGTCGCCCAGGCTGGAGTGCAGTGGCGGGATCTCCGCTCACTGCAAGCTCCGTCTCCCGCGTTTACGCCATTCTCTTGCCTCAGCCTCCCGAGTAGCTGGGACTACAGGCGCCCGCCACCACGCCCGGCTACATTTTTGTATTTTTAGTAGAGACCGGGTTTCACCGTGTTAGCCAGGATGGTCTCGATCTCCTGACCTTGTGATCCGCCCGCCTTGGCCTCCCAAAGTGCTGGGATTACAGGCATGAGCCACCTCGCCCGGCCGAGTTTACAGCTCTTACCACGTTCAGCCATTACTTTTTCTTGAGTAAATGCTCCTCGGGTTGTTTGAAACCTTTGATTAATTTCCAGAGTTCTGAAAAAATTTGCTTTGAAAAATTTTACAAGTGTTCTCATTGTTTTTAAGGAGGAGCTAATTTTTGAAGGTCCTGAAGCCCAGAATTGCTTTGTTTCCTATGACCACTACTGATAAGAAATGGAGAATGATATTCCATCATTTGGAAAATGATAGAATATTGGGCTCTCTGTCTAACCTCAGTCTGAATCTTTTAATTTGTATGGGAATATGCCTCTTTCTGCTTTTCCTTGTGCTCTGACTCAGGTTGTAAGAAATGAAGGAAAGAAGCCAACTTTTTTACCATATGCTTGCTTTTTTCCTTGACATATTTCTAACTGATTTATTTAGAATGACCAGTTAAAAAAAGTTATCAGAAAATTCAAGCCTTCATAACTCACTAAAACAAATATTTACTGATAGAGAATTTTAGTCCAACTTATCTCCCTGCAGGGAAATTCTCTCATTCTCATATATAATAACAAAATATATTAAATTACAGACAAATGTTATTGTTCATTATTATAATCTATAAAACAAAGAAACAATATAAATTTCATAAATGAGTAGATGGTTGCAATAAATAACACATTCCCTGAAACTGTGATATAGTCCCTTAGCAGTGAATTCATACTTTATGATTATTGGAGTATAGTTTAGTAAGCTAAGCTTATATAACTCATTTTTCTGGAAGCACTTATTTTCAGCTCTGCTTGCCTGATATAACAATGAGCTAATTTAAAAATCCAAAAACTTATGCTGAAGAATAACATAATATGCCCAGTGGTTTTATTTCTCACTGTTCATTTCACTAGACTTATTGGTGTCAGGACATGCTCTTAATCAATCTAGTAACAAATTTTAAAGTGGATTTGTCTTTCTTCAGATTTTACCTTGTCATTTATCCTTGACAATAAAAACAGCCAATTTATAGTATGAAAATTAGCCCAAGGAGTTGAATAGGTATAGGCTTGAATCTGAGCTTCATAGTGATAAATTTGTAGTAGCTAAATTATTAATAGAAGCATCCTGATTATTAACACTTTTTGAATTTTGTGTCTTCATGTCTAGAATGGCTTCATACATGATGGTTGAGATGGCTAACTAGTGTAGATATAACAACTAATGTACAGTTGCTTAACATGAATAATTTTCCTTCCTTAACTAGGATATATGATTCTAGGAAAGGTAAATATAAAAGAATAAAAATGACTTAATTTGACAGACAATCCCTTGGTTGAAAGTAGGGCTTGAAATAAATTACATTTAAAACTATATTTGAAATGAATAATATCCAAAGACGACCTGTCCCTAATTTCCAGTAAATCATTCAGCCAGTAAGTTATCTGTTCATGTATTTATTCAACAACTACTATCTGGTGAGTTTTCACTAAGTGTCAGGAATGAAGGTGTCTTAGTCCTTTAGGATTGCTACAACAAAAGTACCATAAACTGGGTAACAAAAACAAGTTATTTCTCACAGTCTGGAGGCTTGGAAAACCAAGATCAATGCTCCAGAAGATTGTTGGGGGCCCTGCTTCCTGGTTCGTAGACAGCTATCATTGCTGTGTGTACTCACAAGGTGGAAAGAAGGTGAGAGAGCTTTCTGGGGTCCCATTTATGAGGCCACTAATTCAATTCCTGAGGACTCCATCCTCATGACCTAGTTATTTCCAAAGGCCCCACCTCAATATCATCACATTGTGAGTGGTTTAAACATATGGATTTGGGGGAGACGCAAACATTCAGTCCATTGCATGAGGACACAGCCGTAAAGAAAAAGGGATGGTTGCTGCTCTCAAGAAGCTTCATTCAACTGGGAGCACCTGAAATAGCAGGGAACACCAGAAACAGCCCCCAAATTTTTAAAGGTTAAAATAATTATAAATTACTGTGAGTATATAAAAGACACACATAGAACGATAAAAATAATGGTAGGAGGGCACTTCATGGAATGTGTCCACAGAAGGCCTTATAAAAGAGGTGATATTTGAGTCAACGCCTGAAAATGGAAAGTGGTAGTCAATTCAAACACTGAGGAAGCAAATTCCAGACATAAGTAAAAGGGATTGCAAAGTCTTAACAAGTGGGTAAAAATCTTTGCTTATTCAAGAAACAGAAAGGAAGTCAAAGGCGTTGGAGCATGACAAACAATTGAGTAAGTGCTGTAAAAAAATTAATTTTGGGCAGGAGCCAGATGAGGCA
This sequence comes from Homo sapiens, assembly GCF_000001405.40. Lineage (NCBI taxonomy): Eukaryota > Metazoa > Chordata > Mammalia > Primates > Hominidae > Homo > Homo sapiens. The sequence goes on along the minus strand of NC_000005.10, from coordinate 164,235,717 downwards.
GGGTCTTGCAACCAAAGGAATTTGGATTTTGTCCTAAGTGCAGTAGGAAATCAGGGTGTAACTTGATCTGATTCATGTTTTATAAAGATGATTTTGGCTGCTCTGTTGAAAATGGATTGGAAAAGGCCAAATATGCATACTTAGGGACATAACCACTCACCCCACATGGTGCCTCAAGAGCCTTGTGAGAAATGGAAAAAGAGAGTTTGGCCAAGTTCCTGTCATATGGTGGCACAGAAGCTTATGACCTAATGTGAGCCCCTCAAGGGTCTTTGATCACCAGATGGTGGAGAGACCACCCTTCCTCTCCGTGCTGCCTGTTTGGTCTCTGCGCAGCAGCTGCCCAGATCCTGTAACAGCATGTGAGGCTGTACAAAGGATGGGACCTAGATAGAAATGCCAGTTTTCCATACCCTAGGGACAGCAACCTAAATGCAATCATTTTCATAAACAAGATATAGTTGCATATTCAGTATTTGAGATAGTCCAAATGTAAGTATGGTATGATATATCCAGTGTGGAGGAACAACTAATTTTAACTACCATGCATGCATTTGGTGTGTGAATATTATCTATTGCTGGGTCAGACTTCTTTCTCTCATTTATACCTGGCACATCAGTTGGTGCCAGGTTTCTTGTGTACAAGGGTGTCGTCTGTGAAGGACTGTAACTCCTTGATGTCTGTTGATCACCAAACATTGAACCAGTTAATCAATTACAATAATCTTTTACCTCCCTGCAGCATTCTTTAATTAACACACTATAGGATTTCAAAGCTAGAGTTTTGTTGTCACATTATACTTCCATAGGAATTGTAACAAATTAGGAAGCAAGGAGTGGAATGAATTTAGCCATTAAGATGCAAGATATCGACACGGTGAGTTAACCTGAGTGAACAACTACAGCACAATAATTAGTGCAGGACTTCTGTTTTGTGTTTATGATTTTGAAGGATAACAATAGAAAACAGCAAGGACAACATTAAGGAAAATAAATGTTAAAAAAATGACAATTCAATTACAGGGAAGGTTACATTTTATTATGTGGATTAAGACTATATAAATAAGTGATTCTACTTTTATTTTGCTGTAAAGAAAGAGCATAGAATTATTGATCCTGCCAAAACCTACCCATTTATTTAATGGTTGCCAAATACAACCCTTGATTTTCTGTTAGAGATTTGACAGTTACTGTTTTGCCAAGGTTGTTTGAGAACACTTGATGTCTTTCCCATATGTTGTTAGAAGGCAACCCTAGAACACATGATATAAGAGCCAGGCTGGAAATAGAATTCTTTGTGGAATGTGATTTTTTTTTTCACTTCTTCATAATGTTTTTATGTAATAACCATTAATCTCTGTACCTTTGCTCTTCCTATAGTGATGGAGAGAATGGTGCAAAATTAAAATGCCAGGGTAGCATTTGCAGATAAACTTACAATCTACCTTTCTCTCTAAAAACAAACAAACAAACAAAAATCATTAAAATATAGCACTTTGAGAGCTCTAATGTTAAATGGTCTCATTTCATTTCCTGAAGGATTTTTAGACCATACTGTTGATTAACCACAAAGCTGTCATAATGGTCTAGCTCTCTCCAGAGGGAGTGGGTCTAAACAGCATGAACAATTCGACCTCCTTCTGTTGTGGATGATCTTTTCTGGTCTGGGTAAAGTTGTTGGTGTTGGAGTGAGTGATTGCTCATATTCCCCTGTACTTTTTCTGGCTTTGCTTACGGAAGCTTTTACTGTTATTAATATTTAACATTGAATGAAGGCTAACAGTGCTCTAGGTGATGAATACCACATTGAACTAGTTCTGGTCTTTATCCAACTGGATAATTTCCAATGATACAACTAGGAAGTAGAACATGCTTTATATTAATACAGGGAAAAATAGGACAATGTTGGGAGAAAAACAAGTAGTATTAATATTCATTTGTTTTCTGACAAATCTCTCTGTCCCTTAAAATTTTTTCTAAGGAAAATTTTCTAATTAATTTTTTAGTTAATTTTCTGGTTAATTTTCCAAAGAAAATAATTATCTTCCAATTCTGGTTGCTCTTCCCAGCTGTTTGCACTTAAACATTTGTTTTGGAGTTACTAAGAATATGTTCTGAAGGTGGTAAAGTTATTATAAGTTTGATGAATTACTCAAATTTAACCTATATGAATAATTATTATTTGTTTCATTGGGTAAACATTCAGAAATGACCATTATATCCTTAAAATTTTTGTCATGAATTTTGTACCAATCAAATTCATTAGAGTGTATTATTGAAAACAAAACCTAAAGAAAATAGAAGACATTATTAAAATGACATGCTATGCTGTTTCGTTTTTTTTTTCAAATATTTTTCCCAGAGGCAGAAATTATTTAGCTGGTATGACTTCAAAGGATGTATATTAGTTCATCTACTTGTTCTCTATGTTTGAAAAAAGATTGATTTACATCCTGCTTTTTTCCAATCTGCTCCTCTAATTGATACGGTTCTGGATAAGAATAATCCATTAATAGCCACGAGTATCGTATTAAAGGAAGTAGACCTGCCGAAAGCATTAAACCAACAAACAGAATGGAATGTATTTTATTTATTTATAATTATCCTGGAAGAAGTTGGGGGTGTCATTATAATGCAATTTTTTAAAATAATGTAATATTTTATAATATTACACTCCTGATGCTTGTGAGTTTCCTTGATGTGTTTTTCATTTTAGGATTTTTGTGGCAAATATTTAGAAGTTCCTTAAAGTGTCTCATCTAAAGCCATATTTTTCTGATGACTCCTTTCTTATTTTTCTGGTATGCTTGGAAGTTCACCTTTTTTTTTTTTTTCTTAATTGTGAGTCTTTAAGGAAAGAGGCTATGTCTTACTCATTTGGGGGTCTTTGTGTGTAATATGCACAAAGCAAAATATTTTGTTGAACTGATTTGATTTTCAGATTGAATTTTACATCGTTTTTGAGATTACTTTAGAAAATTTAATATCTAGCTTCCAAGTTAGTTTGGTTTAGAAGTAAAAGGACAGAATAACCAAGACAATTAGAAAGTAATTTGTCTAAAATTATATAGAAAATGTGTATAGAACACTTTTTTGGTGAATTATGTAATCATATGGATTAAACCTTTTTCATTATACCATTTATTATTTTTCTCAATTAACAAATAACACTTAAAAATGTAACACATTTGTTATAAAATTATTATAGAAAATACTAAAATGCACAAGGTTAAAATTTTAAAAAATGTGCAATTTCCTCACCCAGAGAAAACTTCTTTTGTTCTTCTATGCCTTTTGACATATATCAACATTTTATTTTTACAAACAGTGTTATACCATGAATATAACCTTATTACAGCCTTCTTGACTAATATAAAATATATTTTCCATGCCATTTCATATTCTTTATGGCAATATATTTATGTCTTTATATTTAAGCAGGATTTTATCAAAACAATTGTGTAGCATTCAAGAATTGTGTTTTTTTAATTGTCCTTTGTTAAAATTTAGTGATAAACATCTTCGTAGTTAGATCTTGGTGTATACCCTTCACTATTAAACCATTTTAATAAGTATGCCCAAGTACATGTTTTCCACTGTAACTAATGATTCATAAAATCACTAAAAATGAGAATTAAATAATTATTGCATTTTAAATTTTAGAACCACAGTTCATAGTTATAAATCAGAAAAAAATGTTTACTTAAAATACTCCATTGGACTAACAGATTTAATTTCGTAAATTAATTTATCTACCACAACATGTTGGTTGCCAACTTCTATTTTAAATTTCCAGCATACACATTTGATCATTCAGCAGACATTAACCCATTGCCTTCCATGTGCCAGGCACTGTTCGAGAAACAAGAACATGAAGGTCGCACTGACTCTATGCTTAAACTGCTGACAGTTTCATGGAAATAAATGTATTTGTGTGCTAATGAGGTAAGCCTTGAGAAGGAGAGCAAAGATAAGGCTTCTGTTTGCAGCAGTCTCTGCAAGTACACATCAAAATGAATTGATAGTGAAGAAATGAAATAACTAATGAAATTCATAAATGAATAATAATGAAATAATAATGTATTAAGAAAGTACTAAGGTCATGATATGTGCTAAAACCTAGCTAATTTGATAATATCTATATTACCTTTCATTTGATTAGTATTGCTAGACACTAATGTCTTCATGATGCTTATTATTTAACATCTTAATTTAAATATCAGTAAGTGCATAGTGATGTATACTGAGATTCTTTATAAAGAAGTAATAAAAGTATTGTGAATGATGATTTTATTTGCCAAAAACCATGCAACAAAATAAAAACATACTATTATTGAGCTAGCAAATAGTGATTGATAACACTCTAAAATGTAACTCAACTCTTGTATTTTTAAATTTTTAATATTTTTATTTTGAATTTCCTTCTATGTTTTGGTATTTGCTAGATCCAAAAGATCACAATGATGAGTTTTAAGCTGGTGACATAAATACCATTGTCACCATTACACAATCATTTTGTATAATGCTTAATTTTTTCCTTGCTGTAATTTGAACTTGATACACAATATAGTGATACTTAATGATAGTAGAATTTCATTGTTGATTTTTCTGTAATTTCATAAGGGTGCTTTAGCACTATCTATTTTTAAAAATGTCTCCAAAAAGCTCTCAGTAATTAACTTAAAAATTTTTATAATTCAGGCCTCGTAAGGATTACTTGAAGTTCAGAGACATTGTGATCTTCCATATCCCTAGAATCAGCAATATTTTCACTATCGTATTGATTTTTTTCCAATCATTGCTGGGGATAGCATTGTCAGTTTTCATTTCTTCAAAACAAAGTGAGAAATTTCATGAGTGAAATACTCCAATAAATAATGTGCACGTGCTGTTGGCTGTTAAAGAGAAGAGTTACGGGGAAGAAGAAAGCCAGCCATCAGCTCCTCTTCCTACAACACATGTATCAACCAGTTCAGGTGGTTCTGTGTCCTATTAACTTGTCCAGAGTAACTATTGCTTGCATCAATGCCATGTAAGAGCTAGTCTAATAATGAGCACTTTGGCATTTCTAAGGGTAAGATTTGTTGCTTTTTTTTTTTTTTTTTTTTTTTTTTTTGAGACAGGGTCTTGCTCTGTAGTGCTGTGGTGTGATCATGGCTCACTGCCACCTCAACTTTCAGGGCTCAGGCAATTCTGCCTCAGCTTCCTGAATAACTGGAACTACAGGTATGTGCTACCACACCTGGATAATTTTTTTTTTTTTTTGTAGAGATGTGGTTTTACCATGTTGCCCAGGCTGGTCTTGAACTCCTGAACTCAAGCCATCTGCCCACCTTGGCCACCCAAAGTACTGGGATTACACGCATGAGCTACCATGCCTGGATAAGAGTAAGTTTTTAATCCCTCGGTTTTTACTGATGAATTTAAGTAATTAATTCTTGCTATTCAGGGGCTTTATAAAAAATAGATAGAAATTTTACTGGCAGAATTATAGGCTATGTAGTTGTAACCAAATCATGGCTATCTCAATTAAACTGTGTTTTGGAATTCAAAGGAGAGAGTGTGAAGAAAAAAATAATATACACAATAACCTCTTGAAAGCTATTTGTTCCTTTTACAATTCATGCTATGGAGTTGTTTTCTATAAAGAGATAAAATAAGTCTGTACTTATATTTAAAACAGGTTTAGTCTGAAAGACATTTCCTGAAGAAAAAAGGAAACCTAAGATGTCATGCCAAACTGAAATCATCCTGAAAACTACTGTGTAGATTGCCTACTATTGATACTTTGAAATATTTATTAAATTCATCTAGAACTAAAAATATTTCTACATTTTAAAGTTATTCTCTCTCTCTTTGCATTATTGTACAAGAGAGAGCAATATTTTCCCTCCCTGTAACAAATAATAAGTATCATTCAAATAATCACCAAATGTATACTTTATGCTCACTAGACTTGGGACTTTGGCTAGATACTGAAGAGAAAGTATTTTTTAAAAAAATGTTTAAGGTATTTAAGGCCTGGATCCCCTCTATAAGATTTTTACAATCTAATTTTGGAGAAATGAGTTGAACAGAACAATGATTATTAACAGTGTAAGAGGGTTTAATACAGTTTCAGATACCTTACCTGATGCATATAACAAATATTGAGACAGGAGTGATCATAAATAAAATGAAATATTGAGAAAAAAAACTTTTAGAAGTCTCCAAGAAGGAACATTTCAAGGAAGTGTAAAGAAGGATGTCTTCAAGAAGACTTCAAGGTGAGGATTTGTATAAGAACATAGGTAGAAAAAAGAATTTAAAATATGAATCTTATTGTGAAAACAATACATTACATAATTTTAAGCAAGAACGTATTACATTTGATGTAGTGCTTGGGGAGTATTAGATTGCTTTGTCAACACGTGAAATAAATTATGGGGAGGAAGGTGTGGTGATATACAGACAGGACTCTATGTACAAATATGCAGTGAGGAGAATAACACAGTTAGTCAGAAATGAAATAATAAGACTGATGAAGAATTTTTCTTGGCCTCTTTGCTGGACTCACTGCCCCTCTACTCCGCCCATCATGCTCATCCCCTTGCAAGAGGGAGCATGTGAGTGATTGAGTGTGGGACCTGTGGCCAGACCAGGTGTGTCTCCTTGAGAGGAATGCAGTGGCACTCAGGTGAGGGTTTCTGTGACCTGGAAGCCACAGAGAGGGTGTCACAATGTGCTTTTAGTTCCACTGTTTGTAGATGGACAGTGGTGTGTTAGCAACTCACTTGGCCCCTGGCCTTGTCACATGAGGTGGCTACTCTCCGCCTGTGAGGGCAAAAGGCCAGTGTGACAGCCTTTTCTGGGTACCCACACATGGTGGGTCCCAAGCTCTTGTCCAGTGCCCAAGAAGAATGAGGTTATGTGGATGATTGAAGGATGGTGAAGGCAGATAATTTTATTGAGAAATGAAAACGGTTCTGAGCAGAGAGGGGAGCTAGAGAGGGGATGGGAAGGGCAGGTTGTCTTCCCCAAAGTCAGATTGTCTCTTCTCCAAAGTCAGGCCGTCTCCTCTACTGACTGAGTCTGGGGTATTTACAGGCACAAGATGGGGATCAACCAGAGGAAAGTGTGTAAAAGGGAAGACAAGTTCTCAATCCATTCTGAGGATTTCACTTGTAGCTTGGCTCTCAGGCTTTAAACTGTCCGACTTGGAGGTAGGGTTTCACTGGGTACCTGCTCCTATCTGTCTAGACATTTGGCTGCCTCCTGACACTCTCAAGACCACCACTAGAGCATGGCAGTGGGAACAGAGATGACTGCCTTCATGTAGTGGCTTTGGGGAAGGGAAAAATGAGTCTAATTGACAGAGAATAATTCCACCTGAGGAGTAAAGGGAAAGCTTTGGTTTTTGTTTTTTTTTGTTTTTTTTTTTGTTTTTTTTTTTACTTTTAAATGTTGGTTTTGAGACTTTGATAGAAATGTTGGATTTTAGACACTGGAAATATCTAGAGGGTGAAGATGATAAAGGTTGGAGACATAGATTTTGATAATGATCAGCTAAGAATGTGTGACTAGGTTCAGGCTGGATTGCTTCTGCCTTCAAGGTTATTTGCATATTAAGAAGTTTCAATATTAAATGTCTGGATATTTAAATGTTTAGATTAGTTAAACGGATTCTATCAGTGCCTATATATTTCAGTATCCCAGGAAGGATATGATGTGAGCTCTCTATAGGAAGTGAAAAGTTGTTGACAACTGAGCACTGTAGACTGAATACACATCAGGGCAAGAAGAGGAAATACACCCAGGAAGGAAAACAGGGAAGGAATGGGTTAAGGAGTAGAAGGAAAAGGAATACATGGTACAATAAAAGCTAAGTGCTAAGGAAATTCCACTAAGCAATTGGTTTCATCCACAGTTAAGAAGAATGACAACTAAATACAACCTGAACTTTAAGATCTTGCATAAAATTGTTGTAGTAGAAATGGAAATGCTGAAAAACAGAATTTATGGGCTTAAGAAACAAGTGGAGATTGTAAAAAATATAATGAATTATTTCAAAGAATAATAATTTCTTTATATTGAAAAAAACCCCGTTAACTTTTACAAAAGATCACCGCTTTTGTCTGGTCTTCTGTATGAGAATAGAAGGGCAAAAAAACAAGGCTCTGAAACAAGTTAGGCTAGAACAATGCACAGCTGTTAAATATATGTTTCTTAAATATTTATATATATTTTATGTGTCTATACGATATATATATTTATTTAAGATATATTTTATATGTTTATGATGTTGAAAGTCTTTGATAGAGCACAAAACCAGGCAGCTTATGTCTAAAGAATTTTTTAATGCTTTCTCCACTGCTACATACTAAATTTAGGACATGGAACTATAGGCTGTAGCAAAGATAAGCTTTTGATTATGTAAAATCTTATTACCCTAACCAAAGAAAATATTTCAAAAGCCAGTTGAGCACAATTATAAGTATAATCATGAATCTACAATTTCAGAAAAAAATCACTAAAATATTCCAGTATATAAACTATTATTATTCATTTCCTTAGAAAAATCTATAACTGCTTTTCCTGAACAGGTCAAATCCTTCAGTTTTATGTATTCTTATAAGGTGATATACATCTCTTTCAAAGACAAAACTACAGCTTACATATTAACATATATTTTAGACTAAAATGTATTTTTTCCTCAAATGAATTGTAAGCACCACAAAAGCATGATGCTTTTATGTTTAGTTTTCCCCATCATTATAGCCTAGCACCCTCACACTGTGGCTAGCACAGAGCCCCTTAACCTCAGCACTGTGGACATTTCAGCCTTAATAATTCTTTGTTGTGCGGGGTGGAGAACTGTTCTATGCATTGAAGGTCTGTAGCATCCCTCTCCTCTATCTAGTAGAGTTGTAGCAAGTTGATTTTGAAAACAAAACAAAAAACAGTCTCTGGATGTTGCCAAATGTCCCTTGAAGAGAGTGCAAAATTCTCCCATATTAGAGTCACTGGACCAGCACAGTTAATAACTATTTGTCAGAGGAATGATTAACAAATAATAACTACTTCAGTACTAAGCAAAGTCTGTACTGAGAACCAAAGTCCTAAAGAAATAAGTAAAATCACATTCGTAGACTCTACTTCTACTATCCCTTTAGCTGCCTCCTAATCCCCTTTACAGTGACATTAAGAAAGCAATTCAGGGACTCAGTTATCTTGTGAAATGAAAATTCTGGTTCACCATTTTAGCTTCCATCTTTGTTGGCCTTGCCTATATGAAACTTTGCTTTCTGCCACCCACAAAGGATTATAAGAGCTTGAGAAATGCAGTTAAGGAGGTAGTTTACTGAGTGTAGTTAAAGATGCAGAATGCAGATGGATTTCTGTGTAACCTGAGTTTTAATTTTAGTGATGGAATCAATCTGACCCTGGAAACACTTTCATTCATTATGTGTAGCAGTAAAACTCCCTTTTGAGCAAGAGCAAATTAAGATAAAGCATGATTTGTTTGGCTATTTATTTAAGAGCTTATTTCTTTAAAATTGCAGCTGTTACTTGGCTACAGACGTTTAGTTGGGCAGAGCATCACTTATTTATTTGTTTATTTAGCATGTGGACTCCAGTTACCCATAATGACTTTGTACAGCAAATGGGGAAATTTGCAGCTTCAGTTTCTTCTACTGGTAAATTTTGTTAGTCATTATTTTTAAAGGATCATATCTTATGGGTCATGATGGGGCAACGTAGTAATATTGTTTATTAAGTCCTACCTCTTGTAAGTGTGCTATAGAAAATGCCCAGTATTAAATACCTCTCAATCAACAAGAAATTAACATGGACAATATTAGTTCACATTTGTACCTAATGACACACTTTCAAAGCACTGTCTAGCTTTCCTTTTGCCCTCACAATAATCTTTTGGCGTACGTAGGGCAGGTGACATTAACTGCCCTTCATAAGTACACAAGCAGATAGGAGCACTTAAATACACTCAATCCACTTTAATACATGAAGAATTTCATGATTAAACTTTTTCAGACTGGATTCTTTGTCCTGTTAATTAAATTTAGCACTTCATGCAGGAGTCAAATGCAACTAGTTGGCTTTCAGAGATGGTTAGATGTTTTATCCTGTTTTTATGAATCATTGAAAAACTGGAAGAAAGAACAGACTTACTAGAGGGAAACTATAATTGGTATATCTCTGCCGAGAAAATAGATGTGTACCAAAATCCCACTTTAAATCAGGAGCTTTAGGAGACCTTGTGGAGAATGACTGTGTGCACCAAATGTGCTTTTTTTTTAACCTGCCGATCTTACTTTGGTGCATATTCAATGCTCTTATGTGTAGGAATTTGGCAATATTAAATTATTAGTGATATTTTGTAGGATATTGAAAAGTAGACATTTTAACACGGGTGCCAAAAGATGTGATTACTTTACCCTAACACTAGTTCATTAGAATGGGATCTATCTGATTAAAAGAGACAGCTCAAATCCTTTGCTTGCATTTACCCTTATGAAATGTAGAAGAATACTAGGACATTTTTGTTTGTTTGTTTCTTTGTTTTTGGTCGCTCTTGACCTAAAATCTAGAATGTGCTGTGGTTGCATAGGCATGTTGGTCCTCAGAACCAGTCCTTGCCCTTTGGTCTTCCTCTGTATGGCAGCCAGCTGACTCTGCAGCCTACATTTCCCAGAATCCTCTGTCAGCTGCCTCCACCTGGGTTTGGCCAGTGAGAGGCACTGAGGCCTGATTGGAGAGATGCAGAAAGGGAGAAAACTGAGCATCTCTCCTCTTCTGTCATTGCTTTGGGCGGCCTCAGTGGCCAATGCAGAGGCTACTTCTGGGTTCAAGTAACACTATCCTCTCTCTTTATCCCACCCCCTCTTGCCCTTGGATGTCCATAAATTAAAGTTATTCAAGGGAGTATTCAGAGAGTTACCCAAACTCCCTGTTTGGTTTCCCAGACGTTCCACACATAGATAACAAATTCCCTCTGTTAAATTCAGTTACTTCTAAAAAGAGTGGTTTCTGTTTTCTTGTTTAGATCCTAACTCTGGGGGGTGGGTGTGTGTGTGTGTGTGTGTGTGTGTGTTTTATTGCTTTGGTTTCCTTTGGGAAGAGAGCAGTGGTAATGATGGCTTTTAGAAGCTTTCTAGCCTACAACTTTTCAGAGTCAACATGGTTACCATTTCTAGAGGTGGCCAGGTCAATCTTAGCCAGAGGGCCATTTTTAAAGGCAGCAGGACTAGCTGGAACTGGAATGGAAGATATTGCAAGGTTGGAGAAAACTCTGCAACACAAGAGAAGAACGTATTAACCTCCTAAATAGCGGCCTCTGCTGTGTCTTCCTTGAGTTTGCTCCTATTTTATTTCTTATCTAATGAGAAAAAAGATTGTTAGAGAAGAACCATTTAAGAAAACAAATAAAATAAGCATTCAGAAAAAGGTAAATATAATTATGGTATCTGCCAGAATAAAGTAAAAGTTCCACAAAGTGTCAAAAGTGAGAGTTTATCTGAATATCAATTGTTTAAGGGCTGCTAATGTGGCACCACACTGTAGGAGAAATAATGGCAAATTTCTCCTTAAACAATGGCCTCCCAAAATGGAGGAAGCAATCTGAGGTTGAAGAGGCCTTAGGTTTTTGTCTCAGTCAGGAGGTTCGCTTTTCCATTCTTGTAATGTGGCAGGCTCCAAGTAAATGATGTATGTTGTGTTTCTAAGATGGCAGAACTAAAAGAAACAGGATACGATCTCTTCCCTTGAAGTATACAATTCAATACTGTTCTTGAGCTACTATCATTAATCCTCAGACTTCCTAAATTGAACCCTACCTTCTTAACTAAGCCTGCAGTAATCACCTTTCTGCTTCATCTTCTCTGAACTCCCCTTTCTGCACTTCAAAAATGTAAAAGAAGCACAGCCACCATTTAGAGCTTCAGGGCAGGTAATCATGTTATAGGAGTAGCCTAGTTCCCTCTCTTGGGACTGGTTCTGTTTTCGCTTTGCACATTTTCATTCAGTCTCATGATCCTGAATATAATCTATAGGCCAATGACTCCAAAATATGTATTGCCTGATTTGATCCTGTCCTGAGATTTTATACTCTTATTTCCAGCTGCTCAACATTCTCACATGGCTGCAAGTGCACCCTGAATAAAGCCCCAACTTCTCAGCTTCTTACAAAGCCCTCCCTGATCTGACCTCATCTTGTTACTCTCTCCCTCTCTCTCTCACCCACTACATTTTAGCAAGACTCGCCTTCTCAGTCTCACTTCACTGCCAAGTGCACCAGCCATTGCTTCTGCCTTCAGAATGTTCTCTCACCTGATCTTTATAGAGCTGGCATCTTCTGCCTGTTCAAATCTCAGCTCAAACAGCACCTCCTTTAAGAGATCTTCCCTGACCAACCAATTTAAATCATCTAACCTCTATGCTTTATTTCACTGAGTGGCACTTACAACTCTTAGAAAGTGTACTTGATGATTTATTCTACCTCCCTCCCCCATTAGAATGTACGCACTATTAGGGCTGAGATCTACTCTGCTTTGTTCACTATTGAGTTTTCAGGGCTTAGAACAGATCCTGTCATATAATACAGGATCTGTATTGTATTGGCCGAATGAAGAATAAATGAATGAATGAATACCTAGTGGACAGGAGTCCAAAAACAACTCAGTGTGATACACTGGAAGTTAATAAAATGTTATAGCCTCTCCCACTCCTCCTTACTCCCAAACACCACGGTTATTTTGGCCTCAAAATTTCAATATCAAGAATAGTGTACTGTGGAAAAATTTCTGATATCATAGAACAGATTTGCAACTAGGTTGATCTGTTCTTTAGGCTGAACCATTTTCCGGGCTGAACTTTTCTCTAGGCTAAAAAATGTAGAACTCTTATTCCCTTGAGTTTTAAACAACTTATAAATCAGATACACTTTGGCCCTAATGGCCACGGTAACTAATTAACAGAAACCTTCCAATGTATTTGCCCTCTCTCCGGTCCTGAGATTGTCAGTTATTATCAGCATTACAGACGTGTGTAGAGTAATAGTCTCACAAGCACAAAATGTTTCCAAGTATAATATACACAACCAAAAAACAGTGCTGTTTAATGAATATGAATGTGATGAACTGCACCATTCAGAAAATGTGTACAGAGAAAACAATCTAGTTTTTAAAAATTCATTGGATTTCATCTTGTTTCCCTAGCACAAATTCTTATAGTGCCTGTCAGATAGTGAGCATTTAATGAATGTTTTTGAATTGAATTAACTCTAATATATGTTAGTTCCTACATAAATAAGTAAACTTTATCCTTAAACATTTGCTCAGTTACTTATTTATGTATAATATCTTTTGGAAAAACAGTTCATGAACGATTTTCTGTAGTTTCATATTACGATAAAGTAAATTCTTCATATTAATTCACTAATAAATATTCCTTCTTATACCCTTATGTTGTACGATGTAAGTAGTTTGTATCCGGAAGTGCATGAATAGTTTTTCCTCAGTTAATATTAATATTGGGTGTTTTTCTTTACTTAGTAATACTTTTTTTCTGAAGGGAAACAGCTACTCTCCATCAGTTCAGAGCCTTGATGTCAAAATTAAAGTATTTTGCCTACCAAATTGAAACTGATGACTCTTTCTTATACAAGTTGTATTCTGGAAGAGGAGAATTAGAAGAGCAAGTGCCTAGATGTACATTTTTGGAAAATCTTATGTAGAAAACGTATAATGTCTTTGTTCAATGTTCGACAAAGCCAACTGGTTCTAGATGTTTCTTTGTAGAAAATAATTTTTATCACAAATTCAATTTCTTTAATGGACAGGAAACTTATCTCAGTTATCTATTTTTAAGAGAGCTTTGATAGTTGTATCCTTCAAGAAATTTGTTTGTTACAATCAATTGCTAAAATTATTGACATAAATTTGTACATAATATTCTCCTTTTAAAATATCTGTAGGATCTATAATAAAAACTTTTTTTTAAATTCTTGATATTGGTGACTTGTAACATCTTTATGTTTTGAATTTGAGGTTGTTTGATAAACAGGATTCAATGAAAGTCTAATGCGATTCACATTTCTTGTGCAAAATTAACATATTTCTTAGTTTCAATATGTTTTTCAGTACATTTTTAGAATCTTAGAGCTCCACACATTTTAGTATGTGTGTGCAAATCTGTACATGAGAGAATTGAGGCACAGAAAAAGCAGAAGGCTTAACCAAGACAAAGTAACTGGCTGGTGGAATACCTAGATTTAAAACTATTCCAATTCTATATCCTAATATGAAATCGCATTTAGGAAATTTTGAGCCAACTATATTTTGTAAAATGAGAAACTTGGTATCTTGAGGGATTATTTATTTATTTGAGACAGGTCTTACTCTGTCACTCAGGCTGGAGTGCAGTGGCAAGATCTTGGCTCACTGCAACCTCTGCCTCTTGGGTTCAGGTGATTTTCCTGCCTCAGCCTCCCAAGCAGCTGGGACTACAGGTGCCCGCCACCACGCCTGGGTAATTTTTTGTATTTTTAGTAGAGACAGGGTTTCACTGTGTTAGCCAGGACGGTCTTGATCTCCTGACTTCATGTTCTACCCACCTTGGCCCCCACAAAGTGCTGGGATTATAGGCATCCTGAGAGATTATTAATGAAATCATATCTAATTTTCAAAAATATTTTCTAATTGAATAAACATTTTTAATTAAAACTTACCAAGTAAAAACATAGAAACATTTACTTTTTAATTATTATCTTCTATATACATAAATATATATGAATTGTTAATACTTTTTTCTTTTTGTGATTGCATGATTCTTCTGGTCTTTGCAGCCACCTGCCCATCTCTGGATGTCTATAATGTGGCAATTAACCAGCAGCTTCTTAATGACCTAATTAAGCCATAATGATTGAGGTACAAGGCATTTCCTGGGGATTAATGGCCAGCTGAAAAGAGTTGATGGCCCATGGCATAGCTGAGAGACATTAACCCCAACCAGCCATTAATCCTGTGAAAACACTATATACAGAGGTTATTATTGTAAGCTAGAAATGAAAACAATGAAGAATGGTATATTTACATGTAGTGAAATTATACTTGCTAAATATGGCACTTCACTAAAGAATTAATGCTTAAATTGCTCTAAAATAATCCTTCAACCTTTATAGCCTACTGTTGACACTGCAGAGATATTTTAATTAATTAAATAAACATTTTTATTACCTTTGGTTGCAAATTATAATAGACAACTGGAGCTAGGTTATGTCTACAAGAAGAAAGTTGTGTTTCTGAAAGCTGAGGTCAGAAAGTGGCTGGAACTCAGGAATAACGGAAACTGGGATTTAGAAATGTGTGTAGACTTCAAACAGTATTCTGTGTTCCTCTCCCATCTCTCCCTCTCTCTAAACACCTACTTCTTTCTTTCTCTCTAGCTGTCTCTTTGTATCTCTCTCAGTCTCTCTGAAAATTAACTGCATTTCCTTCAAGTCTAATGAAGATATGAGGCTGCCCATAGGGTCTTTGATAACATTTTACGTATTCAGTCACTCAAAGAGATAAAATTGATTTCTCATTTCTAAATACATGTCCCTAAATCAGAGTATCTGGCCAATATTTAGTCAGGCAACTAATTAGGTTTTAATCAACAACTCTGTGTGTTTGTGCATGTGTGTGCCTCGTTAAAAATGAGTATGTGGTAAATAATGCCACACACAAAAATACTAAGTATCACTTTGCCACTAAGAAAACACAAATGTAAACTACATTGAAATACCACCACATACCTATTAAGATAGTTTTGTTGTTGTCGTGGTTGTGGGATTTTTATTTTGTTTTTTGTTTTGAGGCAGGGTCTCACTCTGTCACCCAGGCTGGAGTGCAGTGGCATGATCTTACCTCACTGCAACCCCTACCTCCCAGGCTCAAGCAATCCTCCGACCTCAGCCTCACAAGTAGTTGGGACTACAGACACAAGCCACCACACCTGGCTAATTTTTTGTATTTTTTGTAGAGTCAGGGTCTCGCCATGTTGCCCAGGCTGGTCTCCACCTCCTGGGCTCAAGGGATCCACCCACCTTAGCCTCCCAAAGTGTTGGGATTACAGCAATGAGCCACTATGCCTGGCTCAGGAGAGTTAAACTCAAAAAGATTAACCATGCCAAACGTGGTCAAGGATAAGGAGAAACTGGAACTCAAAAACTGCTGTTGGACAGGTAAAACCACTCGGGGAAACAGTTTTGCAGCATCTTAAATAATTAAATATGCACCTATCATATGATCCAGCCATTCTACTCCTAGGTATTTTCAATCAAGAAAAATGAAAATGTATGTCCATATGAAGACTTACTTGCACCTGAATGTTCAAAACAGCTTTATTTGTAATAGCCACTATATGAAAACAATCCAAATGCTTATAAACATGCAACAACTTGTATAAATCTCAAAATAATTATGCTGAATGAAACAAATAAACAAAAAGAATACTTACTGTATAATTCCGTATATGTAAAATTCAGAAAAGCACAAATTAATCTATAATGTGAGAAAATAGAAATTGTGTGAGTTTGGAGGTGGGTGGGAGAGATTACAATGGTGAATAAGAAAACTTTGAAGTGATAAATACGTTCTTATCTTGATTGTGCTTTTGGTGTCATGGGTATACACTTATGTAAAGAATTGTCAGTGGTACATCTTAAATGTGTACTGTTTATTTAAGTCAATTATAATTCAGTAAGACTATTCTTAAAATGGCTGTTCTATACCTGGCAGAGAGGCAGAGGCAGTCATTTCAGAATGGGGACTTGTGAAGTGATCAGTTGCCCCACCTCAACCTTTTATATGCAAGATTTTTAAGAACCTATAAAGTGAGTTAAGCACAGTCCTGATTTGTAAAGACTTGCCGACATCTTACTTGTAAGACATTCATAATCTGTCTATTGAGGGGAATGAGATGATTAAATTTTTTAGAAAGAAGAGGATAAGACAAAATATGATGTATTATCAGGGAGGTAAAATAAATCCGGAAAGCCAAGATTAAAGCCGAGAGAGATCATTTCCAATTGAGCATTTAAGAAAAGACTGCATACAAGGGTGGTGTTTGAAGCAGGACTTGAAGAACATACAGAATTTCAGTGAGCACAAGGTAGTGAGACCAGCATGTGCAGGGACTCGGAGGCAGGAAAATGTGGTGTGTTGTTAAAAAATGCTAAACATCTAATGCTACTGTAGCATAATGTGTGAGCAGGGGAGCAATAATAAAGAATGGCAGAAAGGTAAGTTGGAGGTTATATTTTCCAGGCTCTTAAGTTGTAACAGTTAGGGTTATATTTAATTTGGGATTTCTACTTCCAAGTAAAATGTAATAGGTTGAAGCAGTCGTTGTCACTGAAAGAAGTGAGTGAATTATAAAAGTCACGCTTTTATAAAGCATTGTAAAGCTGTGGAACCAGCCTTTCTCTTGGCTTATAGATGGCTCTCTTCTCTCTATGTCACATGATCCTCCCTCTGTAAATGTGTCTGTATCCTAATCTCCTATTCTTTTGAGGACAGCAGTCACATTGGATTAAGGCCTACCCTAGTGATTTCATTTTAACTGAATTACCTCCTTAAAGGCCCTACTTCCAAAGACAGTCATATTCTGGGGTACTTGGACTTAGGACTTCAACATATAAATTTTGTGGGGACACAATTCAACCAGTAACATAATTTCTTATGAAAGATAAAATTTAATGGTTGTTGTTTCAATACACTCAATTTTCAGATTTTTTTTTTTGAAACAGTATATACCTGAAACAGATGTATATTGTTGGGATGACCATTAAAAGAAAGATACCAAACGTGTAATGTTAAAACTAATGGAAGAGATAAAGTGAAATATGGCCAAAAAATTGTTAATGTTCCAAAGATAAAAGGACAAAAGACACAAAAGAAAAAAAAAAGCGAAGACAGGGTAAATAGAAAATGAATAGCAAGTTTTAGACTTAAATTCAATATAGCAATAATTATATTAAGTATAAATGGACAAACCTTTCAATTAAAAGGAACAGTTTCTCAGACTAAACTATAAAAAAAGCAAGACTCAGCTATATTCTCTTTATAAAGGAGCATATTTTACATATAATTTCACAGATAGGTTGAAATCAGAACAATAAGAAAGAAATACCAAGCAAACATTAAACAAAAGCAACCAGAGCTATGTACAGTTTAGTAAAACAGATAATAATTTAAGGAACATATATGTTCATTTATGTTTGTTATAAAACCATGCACTTGTCATCTCCTAAAAATTCTTAGATTATATCATAATCAAATTATCAGTAATTATTTTGAAAGAGCATTTTGATATTTACATATGATATACTACATATATTGAATATTAACATGTAATTTATAAAGTGTTTATATTTATTGCAAATTTTATCAAAAAGAATTATTGGGCTCCTATTATGTACTAGCAATTATGCAAACAGTGGTCAAACCTACAGTTTCTGATTTTTGAGATGATTACACTTAAAACATGTAAAATAATTATAATGACAATAATGACAGTAAAACTAATAATAAACATAACATTCACCTTTGACGTCCAGGAGTAATGGGAGAGTTTTAAAAGATTTTTAGGGTCAGTCTTAAGGAATAATTAAAAGGTAAAGAAGACTAAAAGAAGTGGAGAAAAATATTTTCAATATATTTTAATAAATTTCTAGTAAGTGCACCATGGCTAGGTACCTTAGTTTTCTTCAAACTGCTATTGTTTTTACAAAACCTGTCTATGAACAGCTCTGCAATATAATATGTTACAGAATACAAAAGGAAATAATTCCAGCTGCTTATTCAAATTAGCTATTTTTCTTTCTCAGAGATATTTCCTAATACAACAGATTTTCTCACCAAAACCTCTTGTAAGAAGGCTAAAATTTATTTAATCAATGCAATTAAGATTTTATTTTTTGAAAGTAAAGTATCTCTACTTTTAATGCCATTCACTTAATATAACAATGATAGGTCATCAAAAATAGCTTTCAAAGAAATTTCCATTTTAATCTTTACTGGCTTAACA
Organism: Homo sapiens; assembly: GCF_000001405.40. Lineage (NCBI taxonomy): Eukaryota > Metazoa > Chordata > Mammalia > Primates > Hominidae > Homo > Homo sapiens. The sequence continues at coordinate 164,216,649 of NC_000005.10, read as the reverse complement.
TTTCGAAGTTGCATTTTTGTTGATACCCTTTTCATAACACATGGATAGTACCTATTTTTCTGTTTTAAAATTTTGATATTTCAATATCAAAATGATATTGATGTGTTATCACCAATGATGGTGACATTTTGCACTGTAGCTGTTGTACTGTTGCAGCAACTGAGATGTGTGGAGCCCATAGTAGTTGTTTATTAAATATTTTTTGAATAAATGAATGTATAACTGTATTTTGACATTCTTTTCAAGTTTGAGAGAAAATTTACTGTTACTCTGTCAAAGTAATAATTAGATAAGTGTGTAGGGACAATAAATCCAACTCGGTATTGAAAGAGGCATTAAATATACAAGGAGCATAGTCACACAGCAGTGGTTAAGACCAGGGAGGTGAAATATGCAGCAGGAAAATTTAGGGAACATTTGAGAAACTGAGAGAGCCTATTTCTCTTTGTTAAAGACAAATTATCAGATAGAGACATATCTGGCAGAAAAATAAAGGCACAGATAAAGGGTCAGTTGTAAGATGAAGGGAGTTTTTGCAGTAAAAAAGAAGGAAGAATTCATTCTGGTGTTTGTGCTTTCTTGGACCAACAGAATGGATAAAACAAAATAAAAATGATCAGTTGATGATGACAGTCTTTATCAGCCTTTGCAAAAGTATTTTAAGAGGATTAAATTTGAAAAAAAATCTAATGTTATAAAAAATTGATTTGATAGTAACTTTGATATAAAATCAAGTGGCAGTAAAATTTCTGTACAACAAACATACAAATTATTCATAATTATTCTATGGTGACCAGATAGTATTAAAAATGAATATATTTCCAGAATTCATTTCAGATAATTCCCCTTGACCTAAGGTCAGATAAAGTTAATGCTCACTCTCTTTCGCTGGCCAATTAGCAAGTGAAAAAGAAAGGTAAAATAAACCTCAGGATCATACCTGTTTTTCTTTAAGCTTCTGTTCTCTGTCCGACTGACTTATCAACTGGAGGCAAATTTATTTTCTTTTTCCTAATAATCATTTGATCTGTGATCTGCTTTAATTTAACAGGTGGTTTCTCTCTCTTAGATTTCCTTTCACTTTCCTAAATGTCCATAAATCCTGGAAACTTACCTCCTCTAAAAGGGGAGGAGGTTTAGGCATACTTCAGAATGAGAAATATTCAAGCGTATTACTACTGACATGGGCCCTAAAGGAAATTCAACATCTCTACTACAAATTCTGAAATTCTTGTTTTATGCCCAGCACCTACTGCTCATTCATTCTCCGCATCATAGGTATTTTTAAATTCAGGAGTCTCTGGGACCTTTCTTGCTATGTAGCCTTGGTGGGAATCAGAGAGTAAGGCTCTCTCAAGTTCGAATTCCATCCTTTCCTAAAATGCCAGTGGGCTCATGCAAACTGTGTACCTCCTCCCAGAAAATCAGCATTGTCTCTCGGCATTCTCCTTCAGTAGCAGCCACAGCAGAAAGTTTGTACCACAACCTAACACCAAGACTACACTTTCTCATGCCACATTCGTTTTAGGATTCAGAACCCATATTTATTAATGAGGAGGTAGACTAATGTTCTCAAACAGTGACTGGTGGAACACTTGCATCAGAAATATCTGGGGGACTTATTTAAAAAGTAGATTCCTAGGTCTGACTCCAGATGCACTAATTTTCTTGAGGTGGGACCTAGTGCATTTTCATTTTGAATTAGTTCCTTGGGTAATTCTTAGGCCTAAAGTTTGAGAAGCAGTGACTCAGATGATTGCTCAAACCCTTTTCATGCAATAGTCCACATTCTTAAATAGGTACAACATAGAGGCAGTAATTTTCTCTATGTCAATAGACAATTTTTCATTAATCAGGAAAAAAACATGATTCTGTATGCAGGTGGTGATGATGGCTGGTGGGGAGTTCACGTGGACTCTTCCACATGTACATTGAAACTATAAATTATTACATCTTGGTATCATAATTTTTGCTTAAACAAAACTTAGCTGCCACTAAAGATTGATCAAAGTGGTTTAAAATAGTTAGAATGTTTTCCTCTACTATTAACCAAAAGTCCTGTGATGTTTCTCCATTCTTCTAAACAAACTTCAGAGAAGCCAGTAATTCTGTTTATCAGCAAAGCAGACTACTTTGGGTAAAACATTTGTTACAAACCCTTCAAAACACTACCTGAGAAGGTACTGGAATTAATAAAAGAAGGAAATTTGCTATAAAAGTATGAGTCAGTAGTAGTGACATGTCATCATTGTTTTATAAATTGAACAGTCTATAAAATGTAAGGACTTAATCATCTTAATGCTGTCGTATAACATGCATGCATTTTACAAAGACAGTTGAAAATCGGTCTTATTTAAGTGTAATAAATAAAGGAGGGGAAGTAATCAGTTATAACATACTTCAGCCTATTTGAGCTAAGAGAAGGAAATGGAGTTGTCCTCTTTCAAATGTGGAAAATTGAACAGGTGATTGTAGTGAGGCTTGAATGACATCATTACTCCTTCGCAGATAAATGCCTAAGTGTTTGCCACGTTAATGTGCCACCGATAAACATTTGTTTGTCCGGATTCAATGGAAAGATCAATATGAAGAGAAAGATGTTTTACAGGCTCTGTATTTTCTTTCTGGAATAACTGTCAACTCATATGATAAGAATGAAGGTCAAACAATTCCGAAGAGATTTCTTTCTCAACCTTCAGAACATTAATAAACACTTTGTGAGCATTTTTTCTTTTGCACATTTGTCAGACAACTAATCCTGTATCTGCAATTTCATAAATTACGTGAATCCTGGAAACCGGGTAGAGATCAACTCACTGAACTTTATCTTCAACTGAAATTTAATATGAATCCAACAGTATTGAAAAATGTGTCATGTTCTGTGGTGATGAGAGTGAGCATATTAATGCCACTGTTTGGTTCGAGACTGTTCTTTTAATTTCATACCTGTATGGTTAAAGTCCTTCAAAGCAGAATGATCTGTTATGAACTTACCAAGTGTTTAATTTCCTTTAACTAGAAAAGACTTCGAGGATGGCTATATTATAATAATAATTCAGTAAATACTGAAAAAAAGACTGGTGCCAAACATAGGTAGAGGATCCACAGTGGCAACAAGCCTAAGTGAATGTTTCAGTCTGGGAATGTCAGCCCTTCCATAGTGCCAACTGTCCTACAGTGTCCTCATCTCATTAAAGGTTAATTAGTTTCCTTTCAGCCTGGAGCTCCATGATATATTATGTAGGTCATAAAGATGATATGAACATGTACTTGGCATGTGATTGTGGACTAACCACATTCATTATGGGGGCATAAATTCAGTGCTCTGGGGCCATTTCATTCTGGCAATGGAAAAATGGTCTCTAGGAAAATCAGACTAGAGATTGGGACATCGTTCACATCAACAGTGGTGAACCCAATCCAGTACTAGATGGGAAGCAAATTTCTCAGGGGTAGTAACACAGTTACTCCAATTTTCAGTAAGAGATATGAGACACAATTTCATTATATTCTGTAGGAAATTTGATTTAAGGAACTATAGCTGTATACAAAAACATGCAATGAACTTGTTAGTGCTTTAATATCTCTGTGTTCAGTTTACCACTATCATATACTTGGTATTGGCAGGGTAGGAAGTGACAAAAAAACAGAGGGATGTGGAAAATTGTTCTCTAAAACTTGCTACAGGTAGTGAAATTTGAAAATAAGTTTTGAATAATAATAATTCTTGCCATTTCAATGTATAGGGATTCTGCAGACATCTATATTACAATAAAAAGATGTCTGTTTGGACAGTTCCCAGATGTCAGACATTATAAACAACTGATTCTAATAATTTATCTAATTGCTACTTCACCTTGAATATTTATTACACCGCTTGCTTTTTAAAAAATATTTTTTAAATTTTGGTAAAATAAACAGAACATAGATTTAACCATTTTAACCATATTTAAGTAATCAGTCCGGTGGCACACACCACTTCTTTCACTCCAAATTACAAAATATGTGTGCGTCATGTTGAATTCAGCAGTGACTGAAATCATTGTTTTTCTAAGAGACGTATTTAGGAACAACTTTATTGCATTTGGCTGTTTTTCAGGATAATTAATGGTAGTATGGTGCGCATTCTTATTAACTATAAACCCCATGAGCTGATTTTTTTGAAATAGACTTTTTCTAACATTGCTATCTTTTTTGTTTCTACAACTGTAATTTATTTAAACTGCAAACATTTATTTTATAGTGTTTTAAAGTAAATATTCCCCAAACAAATATAATTTAACATGGAATTTGGTTAAGAGCAAAAAGCATAAAAGTAGGAAGCAGATACCTGTCAGTAAGTATTTAATAATTGAAAATAAGTTGATCGAATCATCAAGTATAAGTTGATTAAGTTAAGTAAGTTTATTTAGTAGTAAAGAAATAAGTTGATTATTAGGGGGTACCCTGGAATGTAGTTAGATTCCAGATGACTAAAGCCAATTATCCAAACTTCTAGAGAATAATTATACTCGGCTCCCATTATTATTTTAAGGATCTATGATGAGCTTGTGGTATCTATTTATTGTATCATGACTTCCTAATTCTTTAATCGGACTTAGAAAGAGCAATGTATTTAATTATTGGAATATTTCTGATCACCTAGAAGGGACAAATGTCCTTTTTTCAGACTTTCTCCTTCAAATGAAAAGTTAATAACCTGGATTTATGTTTCAAACTTTTTCATGAATTAAATTGCACTGAAGTTAGCAGGCAGACAGATTTGCCAAAATATCTTTATTTGAACTGTTTGCAATTAGAATCATCCTTCCAAGTCCTTTCAGGCTCTATGCCACCTCTTCTACATAGCTCTTATTAATGCTTTCTCTCTCATTCTTTCTCGCTGGTTAAAATAGACAAAATATATAAGTAACATCAGGTTATATGGAAATATCTCTACTTGAATTCCACACAGAGCACAGTGCTTTTTATTTCAAGGTCAGCATTCAAGTGCTGCTACTATGTCAGGATAAGACTAAAAGATTTATAAACCACAGCTAGCCTTTCAGTAGCTCCTTCTGTAAAGCAAATAGAATCTCCTTGGTTTATCAGTCAATGATGGGCTTCTTTTCCCTAAGCAAAGACATAGAGAAGATTAGCACAGTAGAAATGAGATGTACCTAATTAATTCCCCAGATCTCTCTAGATGATATTGCTAGTTTTGATTAGAAGAACATCGTGACTAAAATGAAAAATACGCTCAGTAGTTGAACTCATGAAGAAGGAAAGAAATAAATTTTCCTAGTACAGAGATGTCCTAGATAAAACTTAACAATGCAATTTATAATGATACTTTATGATGTCAGAATTTTTTAAAGGCTCTTATTTATAATGGCGTATTTTTTAAAAGGAAATTTTCTTTCAGGATTGTAAAAATGCCTTATATTTCTATTTCTATTGTATATGAGGTAATATACATTTTCAGCTCCTGCAAGTTATATTCCACAAGAATATTAGGTTCGAATAAGATATTTCTGTTTCTTCGTGGTAATTACATAATGGTTAAAAGTGTTTTCCCTCCAACTGAAAAAGACAGGAATAATTTGGGAACTAATTACCAATTATAATTTGGATCATTTAAATGTCTGCCATTTCCTTGTACCTGTCATTAACCTACTGTGTTTGATGAGAATCTTACCAACATCTAGATTTTAGAGGAAAAAAAAAAAACAGCTCTGTGAGTGTTACCATTTGGTTCCTGGAATTATAAAATAGAAAATGAGTTCGGTCATGAAAAATAAAAATAAAAAGAACACTCAGTTGGGTTATTTCCTATTGAATAATAGGTGTATTTTATTAGTAGTCATAAAAATTTTTCTTTGTAGTTTAAGCTCGTTCATGATTACTTTTGCTGTATTTAGGAATAAAACACAGCTGCATGTTGTAAACAGTGCTAAATTTACTAGATTTTGCCAAATGTTATAGTTACACATGATGCCTTAACGGAGGAAGGGAAGGCTTTCCAAAGAGGAAATGAGCAGTTATTGTGAGCCCCTTTGGGTCTATCAAGAAGAGTAACAGGGTCAGATGTTCTCTAAACTTATCATAAAAAAAGGATGGCACCTCATGGTAAGAGCTACTTTAAGGCAAAAACATAAAAATTGTAGAAATCAAGAAAAGAGGACTTGATACATTTAGAGTTCTCTTCCTACTGGGCTTTCTACATTAGTGATTCTGAATGGGGCTGGGGAGATTGAATATATCTGAATTTCATGGCAGATAAAGGAGAGTGTTGTATTGTTTGAAAAAAATGTACCGAGTGTTACAACTTTATATGGGGAAATATATTGCTTTCATAACTGCAGAAAACAGAGTTTGACAAAAATCCCTTATCTGGTGGTTCCTGGTTTAAGAATATAGAGGGATGTTATGTATGGATATGAGGATCATAAACTACACTAAAGGGGTGAGTTAGAGCTGAAATACATTCTGTGCTCCACTTATCAAGCCATGAACCCTGACTCTGTAAAGACAAGTGGCACCCATATCTGCATTATGAGGGGAACCTCACATACATTCAGTGACAAGACTGTTAAACTTGAGAAGCATCCAGGTAGCACCTGTGGTGAGCTGTAGAGAATGAGAATGCTCCCTGACTGAAGACACCCAAATAAAAGCCCACTTAAACATGGCACTGGATAAACAGCCATCTGTGGGCCACACTTAGTCCAATGGCCACCAGGCTTTGTCCAGCTTCTTCAAATTCTAATCTCAAAAATTATTTTCTTATAGAATGTGGTGGCTTCCTCAATTAAGGCATTGCTATAGGTCTCCAATAGCCATGGGTTCTCTGCTCACATAATGATTTTCTAACAGTTCTAGATATACATTTCTCTGTCTCTTGGAAATTTCCTTGTATGTAATAACTTTGCTTCTGTATATTTTTGGTCCCCCAAAATATGATAAAGGCAAGGGCACAATATGAGCATCTGTTGATCTGAATTACCATGGGACTATATTCTTTAACTCTGTTCTTCTCAGTTGCTGGGTACTTTTTGGCATAGCTCCCAACCAAGTTCTGTAAGCAATGAGAAAATCAGGTATGAACGTTGGAAGCAGACTCACTCTGGTTAATAGAAAAGAAGGTATCGTATATGAAATTATATAAAACTAATTTTCCTCAGTGATGTCTGGATCATCACTGTTGTGTTTAATGAGAAGTCTATAAAATGGGCTATGGTGTGTACCGTAAGCCACGTCTCTAGACGCCACCTTTGTGTCTCACATCTGTCATCTCAGTTGTGTGTGTGTGTGGACACGCACACCATGCAACCACACATATTTTCTCTCTAAGTCTTTTTCCAGATTCTAAGTCTTTAGCTGCTATATTCAATCTTTTTTTTTTTGGAACTATTGCTAAAATAATGCTTCACGCTCTGCAAGTTATAGGTTAGTACACCTCCATCCTTATGTCAAAATCTGATATTGGAAATCTAACCAGGACCTAGCATTCTAGGACTGTTTGTCTACAAAGGAATTCAGAAATTTGCTACCAAGAAAATCAGTACTAGTTACGCCCTTTTCACTAAAAACTCCTGTGTATTTGTATATGTAAATTTAAAAACTAGGTAACAGTATCACTTCCTACATGGAAACATTTCAAGTGCTTTATTTTTCACGTGTGTTTGTAGAAAAAACACATACTTTTTTGATTTAATTTGTGTATGTGGCGATTGTCAGCTCGTTTGGTGGTGTGTTACCTAGTGGGTTAGGGATAAAACTCCGGTTATCGAAAATGTTGTTTAATTTCCCTTTCACTGAAATACAAGCATAAATCCTTCTGCATATCTGTCCTTGGAGAAAATAGAAACAAAAATTCATCTCTGCCAAGAAAAATATGGTTGACTTAGGGATCACTTGTATTTTGTGAGTTCTGTAAGACTTTGGAGACTTAGGAGTTAGTCTCAAAACTTAGTAAACAGAAAGAAAATGCAAATAAACATAAGAATAGTATGAATGTTCAGATGCATTCTATTACAGAATAAAATAAATTTAATCATTTGGTATAAGATAAAATGCTTCACTATGATATTGAATTGCCATACAATTAGAATTTTTAGATTTTGAAAAGCCCTCAATTTTTTTCATTTATTTTTGAAATAAGTAAATAAATTATAAAATAATGATTGTAAAATAAATAATTGGTTTTACCTTCAAATTTATCTAGCAACAAGGGACAGTTATCCTGTGACATTTCATTCTACTGTTATTATCTCTAGGAAAATAAAGACCAGTTTGGTTTTTATTCCTTTGTGTGCCTGGAACAAAGTCTGTTGGTGGAATGACAACTTCCACCTGGCTGAGATTTCATGGCCTTTCCTTCTGTCTTATCAGGTCTGCCTATATTGTTGAGAGATCAGCATATTTTGTACCTATGTAAGTAGATATCAAGGTACAACACTGGAGCAAACAGTGATCGTTGTCTAATGGATGACTCTTGCCCTTTGTCATTACCCCCCACATCCACCTTCTTTGCTGGCAGAGCCTCCTTCATCCTAAAGATGATTACACTTACTCTCTTTCCCATCTTTCCTTGAAGGTAGGACATGCTTATTCAAATGACTCAATTATAGGCAAAGTAATCCAAGGTAAGTGTGCTGAGGTGCTTTTATTCTCCTAAAAATGTTTCACATTTTAGCGTCTTACCAAGGAATGGAATTATCATTCGATTTGGCAATGTCTGCCTATGATACCCAGTACTGCAGTCACCATCTTGTGACCACAAGTGGAATACTGCCAAGGTACAGACAATATTCGGATAGACAGATGGAAATCAGCTGAGTCTTTATTTTCATCACTGAGCTGCTGAAGCAACCTGGAAATTCCCTGTCTCTGGCCTTGTTGATATGTGCAATCTACATGTTCTGATCATTTAAGCCACTGACTCTATTGAGTGTTCTGTGATTTATACTCTGAAGCTACCTAAATTACATAAACATGAACCTAATGTCTCTACATTAGCCTAAGAAACAATGAAGATTTCACTGGGTAAGTTCCACTGAACTCCCAGAGGTTATGATAATGTCAAAACGAACATTTAAAAGTTAACCATGACCTTTGTACTCTGGCTATTTGGTCTTGAGAAATTACTTCTCTTCTCTGAGCTATAGATTCAGAAAGTAAAATATTCCACAAGTTTATCTAGGTGTTGTCCAACTTGGCACTGGAGAGGAATGATTTGCTTATTAATCGTTTAATCTCAACCAAAATATGTATGTTTTAGATCAATCATTTGGGATCTTAATAACATAAAGAGAAAAAAGTATATAAAGCCACTGTAACGTGGGCTTTAGATTCAAGCAGTTCTTGCTCTGTCATCATCTGGTTGTATAATCAGGGATTCACAGCCAACAGGCACCTCATTTACTTCATCAGTAAAGTGTGGAAAGTAACATCCTTTTATAGGTATAGACTGCATATTAAAGTGGATAGCATAATAGATTATCTAGTTTAGTGCTTGTCATGTAGTAAACGCTAAGATGTGAACAAATAGATCATATTATTGTCATAAAATCATGTAATGCATAGCACAAACTATATTGCAGATATGCCTGTAGATTGCTTCAAGTTTATCTTATTTCTAAAAATGTCTAAAAAATTTAATATCTGTTCTATATAAAAATCATGTGGCTCTACTCAAACAGGTTTACGAATACAAACTATCATCAGCCCATTGATTAAAACCAAAGGAAAATTTGGATATCATCTTCCAGTCCTCTTTGTTAGGCGAGCTCTGCCATAGATATTATTATTTTTCACCTAGACTTGGATGAAAAAAATACACATTTATAACTGGAAATTCTAATTCATTTCACCTTCACATTTTAAGCTATAGTAAGTACTAACAAAAAATTTAGCATTTCTCTAAATATCATCATGAATTGCTTATTGAACCCTTGTTTAAAGATCTATTTAAGGCACTTAAAGATTTATCTGATTAGCCCACACCCTATTAAGAATTTGCATAATAATTTAACAGCACAAATGTTTCTGAAGGGATATATATGTGGTATGACCATAGTATTATGCCAATTTTTTACAGCCATTTAGTTTTACAATAATACCTTATGCCACTTCATAAGCAGTGCATTAGGCCATGTCAGTGCTAACAACAGCAGACAGGAGCTGGACTCCAGATCCTGCAGCTTCAGCCTAAATGTATGGTTGCCTTAGGGGCATTCTACCTATTAATTTAACATTCTAAAACTAATTATGTATGTCAGGGTGACCTCTCTCTAATCTATATTCATCACAGAGTCCGAGCTGTCTGTCTCCATTGTTCCCATAATAAAATAGCTGTCGATAGACTTATATAATTGACTATATCAGAAGTGAACTCACCCTACATGGCTACATGTAAATGGTGTACAGTCCCAATAGAATAAAGATAAGCAAAAAATAATCCAACTATCTTCAGTAATTAACTTTGGAGGCTTCATAACAACAGTAGGAAATATATTTCCCGTTGGCTTAAAAATGAAAGTAGGGAGTACACAGGAGTCACATCTACGGTAATTAAAAAAAGTTTTCTTGGGGAAGACCATGAAAAAATATTCACCTTGAGTTTTTTTATGTAACACTTATTAACACTTGCTGCTCTTTGGGCTAGCATACTTACAGAACTCCATTAAAAATTTATATATGCGCACATAGACAAATACTTTAATAAGGGACATTTATAATCATCCATGTAGTTTTGAATATCGATTTGTTGTGCAAATATCAAAATTGTTAATAGATGCTTATTTTCGGAAAATATCTATGTTATCTTCTCATATATCCTAGTGATATAATGTAAAAACTCCTTTAAAGATTAATTTGTTGATTGCATTAAATGCATTTTGGAGGTGTATGATTTCCCGTTTGTTTAAAAGGATTTACCTGACAAAAGCACTTTTGCAGAGGCTGTCAACCATAAATATTGATGAAGTGACATCGCATGTTGGATATTGCACCAGATTTGGAGGAGACTCAGAAATGAGAAAAAAGGTAATCTGTGCCCTTTAGGAGCCTGTGTGTAATGAATAACCCCACCCTTTTTCAAGAGGCAATGGAAATTTCAGTCACACTTTCCCTAGACTTCTGTTCTTCCTTAAATGTTTATTTATAACTTACTAATTTTACCAGCTTTATGGTAGATTAGAAGGGAACAACTGAAACATGAAACTTGGTCCTTGTTTTCAAAGATGCTACTAGGGAGCTGGTGCAGGGTAGCAGTTAGGAGAAGATTCTGTGAGGTCACACCCCTGGGTTCAATTCTGGCCCTTGGCTTCCATGGTTGTGTGACCTTAGGCTAGCTCTTTAAAATATTGTGCCTAAATTTCCTTATCTGTTAAGTTGAACCTATGTAGCCCCATGTAGGATTGTTGTAAGGATTACATTTACATTTAGAATTACATTTAGAAATAGTAAATGTAGATTGCATGGCTTATGAGAAGCATCTCAATTTGGGTTTGAGACGTGGAAATACGTAGACAATAATGTAAGAGGTCATATAAGTAATGCTTATTATACTTTAATAAGCATTTTTAAAAATTACAGACAACAGAGTATAGAAAGCAAGAACAGAGATATAGATAGGTATAAGCATGATTTTTTTTTTAAATTACAGACAATAACGTATAGAAAGTAAGGTCAGAGAGATATAGGATTGAGTCCTGTGTCCATCTATGTGAATGTAGGCAGGTTACTTAAATGTTATGGGGCCTTGATTACTCCTAATTAACATCTGGATAATATAGTACTTGTCTCATAGGACTGTATAAGAATAAAATGAAATAATGTGTGTGTCAAGCTCTTGGCACGGTGTTTGGCATTCAGTAGAACGCATGACATTTTTGTGGTTTTGTTTTGTTTTTTTTGTTTAGTAATATCATTGGGCAATGAACGAGATTCATAAGGAAGGAGGAGGCCAAAAAATGGCTTCATGGATATATTAGTTTCCTATGACTGCCAAAATAAAGTGTCACACACTGAATGGCTTAGAACAACAGAAATGCATTGTTTCACAGTTACAGAGACCTGAAATCTGAAGCTAAGGTGTCAGTAGGGCCAGGCTCCCGCTGGAGATATTAGAAAGAGGTCTGTTCCAGGCCTCTCTCTTAGCTTCTGGTAGTTACTTGGCTTGTGGCAGAGTAACTTGGATATTTTCATGGTGTTCTCCCTGTGTGAGGTTGTGATTTTATGAAGGGCAACAGCCTCACTGGATTAGGGGCCCACTTTACTCCAGTATTCCTTAGCTAATCTTAACTAATTACATATTTCCAAATAAGGTCACATTCTGAGATACTTGAGGAGAAGGGGTAGGAATCCAGCATATGAATTTGGGGGGATACAATTCAATCCACAACAGATGGTGGGAGACTAATCCTGGAAAGATACGTACAAATGGGGGAAAAAAAAGTAGGACAGCCTTCTAGATCAGGGAGTGCCATCAGCTAAAACATAAGTTAACAAGATACCAAGGGCAAGTAAGGAGATAAAAGGGTTTGTATTCACAAGTGAAGGGATATAAGAATGGGGAGACTGTTCAGGTCAGACCTGGCGTGATGCAATATATAATGGCAAGTTCCGGTAAATCAGTGAAGCATCAGACTAGACACTGGCTATGCCAATGCAACTGGCCTGAAAACAGTTTAGAACATATTCAAAAAATTTAAAGGTGAAGTGAAGAAGTTCAGGCAGAAGAGTCTGAAACTCAAATGGTACATTCATTGCCCAGGGTGTATACATTCAACACACAGGAACTATTATAAACTATAGATGGAAAGGAATCGTGATTTGAAATCAGACCAGGAAAGCTGTGTTAAGTGCTGATTGCACATAAGAATATCAAATGTTCTCTTATTCCAGAAAAATATAGGATGACGAGTACTAGATTCAGAGGAAGTGTGACTAATCCTCCTTCCTCTTGACTGTAGTTTCTTTATTTGTTAAATAAGATATTAACATTTATTCTCATAAAAGGCTGTTGTGAGAATTGGACAATTGAATAATGTTGTTTCAGGTAAAGCTCTTACATAATAGGTGCACTAAAAAATTTGAGTGATTGTTATTCTAATTATCTTGCTGATTTGATTATTCTTAAATAAGGAAGAGAACTGTAAAATAATTGGCAATAACATCTTAGATTTTTCACGTGATCATTTTTCATTTTTTTCTCCTTCCCAGTGTTTTTTCCATATTGTTTCATCTTAAATGTTCCTTCTTTTTCTATATTTGTTCTTTTTACTCTTGTCTTTTTCTTTTTATTTTCTCAAATCTATATTATTTTCATTCTGAAGTATTTAGATAAATCCTAAAAAGAGAGTGAGAAAATTCTTGGCAATATCAGGAGAAGGCAAAGATCTGGGCGTATTTAAAGCCTGTAAACTATAATTTGCACCTTTGTTAATTCATAATATATACAGGTTTCCAAGAATCGCAATACAGTGCATATACATTTGAATTTTAAGCCTTTTTCAGGCATCTTTGGTTCCATTTGTTTAAATTATGCACTGTGTTATGTAGGCATGCTGAGAGATTAAGCCTGGGAATTGCTTATACTGTTATTTTGTTTTTCTTTCTGTTAATCCTGCCCTCTGTATCTATTATTATTGTTATTATTTTCTTCTTCTGTTATCTCTTGTAGCCCTTAGCATGACATCTGTTTTCACTCATTAATATACGTGCTCCAAAGATTCTTTTCCAAAGCTGATGTTTTAGTTTAAAATTGTGTATTGTATTTCTTTTTTCCTGTGTTAATTTCTTTGTTTTTCACATGTTTTCACAATGTACTCTAGATTGTGTTCTAAACCTTGAATCTGTAACAGCAAATCTAACCTAGTCACTGAACTTGAGGTTCACATTTGGTAGGGATACAGCTGTATAGACAGGTAAATCACAATTTTGTGTAATCAGGGCTGAAGTAAACAAATAAACAGGCATCTGTAAGTGGATGTGGGAATACTTTGAGGTAGTTGATAGGTGGGCTGGATTCTGAGGGGTTGAGTAGAAGCTTTCCAGGAAGCGAGCCTGCATGCCTTCTAGCTTATGTTTTTGGGGTTTTTTTCTTGGCTTTCATTCAACTTGTAATTCATCTTGGAGGCTTAGTTGCTTCTGTAACTAAAATACTTGCCAAGTTTTCCTGGGTCTGAGATCCTTCTTAGCAGATATTTGACTGCCAGCCTCAAACTAGATTACAACAAGCCACAATTTCTTGTGGATAATTCATCTCCCTGCATCCACTGTGACTCTCCTCATCGCTAGTTTACATGTCTCAGGCACCCTCAAATCTGTGTGTTTATAATTTTCTCTTATACTTCTATTCAAGACAAGATCCTCTGGGCAGTTAATGTAGCAAATAATACAAATGAAAGGACTAATTTTCCGTAAATAATCTTCACGCTTTCTTTTAGTGTGAAATAAAAAAAAAAATATTGCCTACTATAAGCAAGACAATTAAGTCTGCCTAATTCAACATAAGATGAGATATGAAAAAAGGGAATTGAAATGTGCAAGAAAAACAAATTAAGGCAGACTATGTCATAAAATAATGTACAACCTAGTTGGAGCAAGAATAACAATAACCAAGAATGATCCCTGGTAGACCATTATTTTGTCACCTCTCATTTACCATAATATCATGGGATGTTGGATAGTACATAGCCACATCTAAAATATGTATGCCATGATGTCAAGATATATTTGAGTGAGTAATACTTTGAAAACTTAAATGGTACAAAAGTGTAAATACGATGAAAATTCTTCCACTCATCTCATTCAATAGTTACCAATGCTCCTCTTTATAGCAACTAATTTAGCAATTTCGTGTTTACTCTCCTAGGGATATTTTGCATATACATACTAAAATATTCCTTAATTTCCTCTTATATAAGTGTTAGTTTACATGCAAATACATGATAACATGCTATTCACACAAGTGCTTTCTTTTCAGGTAATGCAATATTCTGAAATTTGTTTCACATCTACAAAATACTTCCTTATTTTTACAATTCATATTTCATTGTATGTGGATTTATCTCATAATGCATTTAATCACCCCTGTAAATGGACATATAGACTATTTTTAAATGTTGTCCTACTAAAAACAGGGCCATGTAGCAAGAACACCCGGGGCCTGGGATCTTCATTAATAACATCACTCTCTAATAAGAGAAACTGGGGTTCCTTGAAGAAATGGCTGATTCTAGAGCTGAGGCAAGAAATACAGAAGATGAGCTTGAAGGATCCGGTAATGTCCAGAGTGCTCAAAAAATAAAATAATTGGGGTCATATCAAAGGGACACAGTAGTAAAACTAAAAGATTTCCCAATGGCCAAAACTGTGACAAATTGAACAATAAAAACCATTATGTAGTGTTGGACTATAAAACATAAAACCTAGCAAAATACTAACTTGGCCAGGTACTCAAAATAAGCACCATAAATGTTCTATGCATAAATGTTCAACACAAAATTATAACTCGAGTCTAACCAAGAGAAAAACATCAGAAAATATGGTTTATAATGCAAAATATACAAATTATACAATAAATATTTATGAATCATACAAATAAAAATAAATGAATAAATAAGTCATATTTATTTAAGATACATCTTAAAATAAAAGATGCATAGAGATACATCTTTTATAAAGAAGAAAATAAAGATACATCTCTTAGAGATAATTCTGTACCTCGATGAGATGGGGCTATATTTTCTACTACTTGAGTGTGAGCTAATCTTAGTGGTATGGTTCCGAAGAGCAGTGTATGGAATGGAGGGGAAGAAAGTAGCTTTATAGTGAGGCAAACACTAACTTGGCCTGGTGCTCAAAGTGAACATCATAAATGTTCTATGCATAAAGGTTCAACACAAAATCCATTACCCCAGTCTAACCATGAGAAAGACATCAAAAACAAAACAAGCTGAGGGTCTTACTACAAATATCTGACCACTGCTTAAAACAACCAAGGTCATGAAAAACAAGGGGAATCAGAGAAAGCATCATGAACAAGAGGAACCTAAGGAGACACAATGATTACATGCAATGTGGCATCTTCAATGGGATCCTGAAACAGAAAAATGACGTTTGAACTAGTAAAATCTGAAGAGAGTGTAGTATCTAGTTAATGGCAGTGTGCTAATGTTTCCTTGGTTGTGGCCAATGTATTCTAATAATATGAAGATATTAACAATGGAGAAAACTGGCTGTGGGGTATACAGAAACCCTTTGCACAATCTTTTAAATTTTCTGTAAACCTAAAGCTACTGCAAAATGAAAAAGTTCATTTTTAAAAAGTATGTAATAAATAACCTTGTACATGGGCCACTGTGGACATATGATGCTATAATTTGTAAGAGAGATTTATTAAGCAGAATAGTTGTGACAGACAGTTTATGTTAAACCTGCTATCATCTTTGACTCCTTTATTTGTTTTATCCCTTATATCCAGTCACTTAAAAAAATCCTGACAATTACTGTCACCTTTACCACCACTCTTGTGGTGCTTGCTTACGTTACGGCGATAGCCTTTAAATGATCCCCTGCTTTTACCTATGACCGCTACTACATAGTCTCTTCTAAAAGCCAGAATGATACTTCTAAAATAGATGAATAGATGTTGTCACCCCATACTAAGAAGCTTTGAATAGCTTCATGTCTGCCTTACAGTAAAAGCCAAAATCCTTGCAAAGGCCCTTCGCACTCTGCCCTCCTTTATCAGCATGAATTCTTTCTTTTCTATCTTTCACATTCTATCTTTCACAACACTCACTCTGATCCAACCACTTTGCCCACTACTGTTGTGAACAAACGAGGAAAGCTTCAGCCTCAGGATCTTTGCACCGTACTGTTCCTACTGCCTATAAATCTTTCTCCTTCATATTTACACATGCCTCAGTCCCTCAGCTTATGCAAGTATTAGCTTAAATATGATCTTCTCAGTGAGACCTTCCCTAACCACGAGTGGTGGTTATGCACAAGGAGATGACGGCTTTGTATAATTCCTTCTCTTGATTGTGGGTGGAAACTGATCGGCTTCTAACCAGTAGAATGTGGCAAAGGAGATGAATTATCCCTCCTGTTATTCTGTTATATTATAGAATGAGAGTAAAGGGATTTTGTGGATGTAATTAAGGTCCCTAATCAGTTGAATTATTAGCAGCCAAAAATGGGGATTATCTTATATGGGTCTGAATTAATCAGGTGACTCTTTCAAAATGCAGCCTGGGCCTTCTCTAAAGTCAGAGATTCTAAGAAGCAGAGATTCTCTGTCTCTCTGCATTGCTGGCTTTGGAGAAGTAAGCTACTACGAATTCTATAGCAGCAAGAAAAATCATTTGGCAACAATATGAGGAAGCTTGGAAATGGATTCTTACCCAGCTAAGCCTTAAGCTAATGCTGAAGCCCAGCCAAAAACTTGGTTTCAGACTATTGAGATCTTGAGCAGAAAACCCAGTTAAACTGTGCCTGGAGTCCTTATACACGGAAACTGTGAGATAATAAACAGGTGTTGTTTTAAGCCAGTAAGTTTATGGTAAATTGTTACATGGCAATAGGAAATGAATTAATGCCTTTATTTAACATTTCAAGGTTATGTTCCATTGCATCTGTATTTTGTTCCTTTGCCTTATTTCTCCCCTTAGTATTTACTACCACAATCGAGGGTTGTTTTTACCTTACAGATTTGTTGTGAAGATTAAATGAAGTAATGCATATAAAAAGCCAAGGCAGTTCCTAGCATTTAATAAATGTGCAGGATATGTATTTCTTTTGTTTTGTTTTTCTATGTGTAAAAATGCTTTATGAAAATAATAACTTTACTAATGAAAAGTATTATTTGGGACATTTATTGATTCTTATTCTAGTCAATAATATAATATGTAATATAATACAATCTGTCATACCCTAAGATTAGAAAATATTTTACCCAAATACTATTTTCCTTAAGTACAAAAATGCATTTAGAATGAGTTTTAAAGGAAGAGTTTCCATTTAAATTTAATGTGATGCAGCCACATGTTTTCTTGCTGGCAATATCTTATTTCATTTTTAGCTTTCACCTAATTCCTTATACTTTATTTTGTGGATTCATTACTATGCAAATACATATGCACTATATTCAAATACATGCTTTGAGGATTATATTACATTATATCATTTCACAATTAAACAGCTTGTATCCAGTTCTCTCAAGTTACAAATGTTTTATATAAGTTGGTTCAAGTTACCAAGTCAAAACAATAAGTGAGATCTTTCATTTGAACTATGAAAACACTAAAATGATTCTCCACAGGTATTAATGATAAAAAGTTTGCTAAAAATCACTTTCATTACTAAAATATATATATATTGGCTATTGGTTTATTTTAAAATACAACTTATAAGAAAAATGTGCCAGGTGCTGTGACTCAAGCCTGTAATCCCAGCACTTTGGGAGGCCGAGGTGGGTGAACCACTTGAGTTCAGGAGTTCAAGATCATCTTGGCCAACATAGCGAAACCCCGTCTCTACTAAAAATACAAAAATTAGCTGGGCATGGTGGTGTGCACCTGTAATCCCAGCTGCTTGGGAGGTTGAGGCAGGAGAATTGCCTGAACTTGGGAAACAGAGGTTGCAGTGAGCGGAGATCACACCACTGCACTCCAACCTGGGCGACAGAGTGAGACTCCGTCTCAAACAAAGAAAGAAAACCTATTTCCCTATGTTTATAAAGATCAATTCATTATGATTGTTCTCATTTTCAGTCAATAAATCATCTAAAATTCTCATTTCCTTTCTTCACCCTGGCGTTGTCTATGTGCCATTTTTATTATTTGATAATATCTCCAGTTTATGTAAAATAAAAAGAAACTGAAGTGATAAGAAATAATGTTAAAAGCTGTTTTAAAATGTTACTTTTATTAGAGTTCATAAAACGTTGCAGGAGAAAGAGCTAAAACAAATTATTGTCAAGGCTTTTAATTACTGTGATCATCTTTCACGGCTAAGAATAAAAAGATGCTGGGAAAAAATAAACAGCTATTTGACCACTCATTCTGAGGCAAAAATTAAGGTATTTCACCTTTGTTCAGAAGATTTCAAATACTAAAAACCAGCATATTAAGATTTATCAGATACTTCAAAGCTTATTAGAATAGAATGGAACAGCATACTTGGTATCAGAGTATTTAAATCATATGGTGTGATATGGTTTGGCTCTGTGTCTCCTCCCCCTCCCAAATGTCACCTTGAATTGTAATAATTGTTATGTGTCAAGGGTGGCACCAGGTGGAGATAATTGAATCATGAGGGCAATTTCCCCCATGCCGTTCTCATGGTAGTGAGTGAGTTCTCAAGAGAGCTGATGGTTTTATAGGGGGTTTCCTCCTTAGTTCGGCAATCATTCCCTCTCCTACTGCCCTTCTGCCATGGCAGAAGAGGTGCCTTCTGCCATGACTGTAAGTTTCCTGAGGCCTCCCCAGCCATGTGGAACTGTGAGTCAATTAAACCTGTTTTCTTTATGAATTACCCAGTCTTGGGTATTTCTTCATAGCAGCATGAGAATGGACTAATACATGGTGTCATTTGCTAAACCGTAATTAAGTAAATGTTATGAAGAACTTTCAACTGCATATTTTCTTGACAACATATTTGAAATTGATCCTTTGAATTTTACCGGTATGAAAAAGCACACCCATAAATTTTTAAATATTTAAAAGGCTCACTGAATGAACTTTGTTTTATTGACTCACATTGCCAGTACCTAGAACAGCATCTGGAACATACTAAGTGCCCATTAAGTATTTGTGTAATTGAATGAATGAATAGGTGGTAGCCAAGTCAACAAGACTTAACGCCTACCATGGGAAAGTGACTCCTTTACCAGTTGAAGCTGAGTCTGCGCCATACTAACAGGCATCATGTTTTGGCGGAAATTCATACCTCATCTCAGCTAATGGTGGTAAGCTCATCTTTTATTCCCAATAAATAATACTGGGAGGGTATTTTTTAAATTTACCCATAAAACGTTATATTCCAGGGCATAAGAATATCTAAAAACCCAACGGAGATGTCCCCACCTATCATTGATATGTTCCCTCTTTTTGACTTTCTTTTCTTGTGTACACACATAGTACAGCTGCCATTTATACGACTAACCTGTAGTTACATTTTCCATATGCTAAGTAGTGAGCTAAGTACTTTAAAACTTGTTATCTTACTTCATGTTCCAGCTTAATGTGGAGCTTACTTGTATACAATATAAATAAAAACCCTTTAAATTATTACATAAATTGGTAATTTTACACATGCTACATTTTATGTATGTATGTTTTGGGAATGGATATTAACACATGCCTGGAAAATTTAAGGAGGTTGGTAGGTGCTGAATTATGCCCTCCATCAAAATCATGGGTTGAAGCCCTAACTTCTAGACCTCAGAATGCGACATATTTGGAGACAGGGTTTTCACAGAGGCAACTGAGTTAAAATGAAGTCACTGAGGTGGGCCCTACTCCAATATGACTGGTGTTCTTAAAAGAAGAGGAAATTTGGACACAGACATGTAGGAGGAAGATGATCTGAAGAGGTAGAGAGAAGATGGCCATTGAAGCCAAGGAGAGAAGCCTAGAACAGATCCCTTCTTCATAGCCCCCGGAAAGAACCAGCCCTGCCAACACTTGGATGTGGAACTCCTAGCTTCTAGATCTGGCAAGGAAATAAATGTCTGTTGCTTAAGACATCCAGCAAACTAATGTTATGGTGTTATGGTGGCCCTAGCAAACTAATACAGAAGTGGAAAAATGGGTCACTCTATTATATACGTGACTCTAGTATTTAACCTTCTCTTTTTCTTAAATAACTTTCTTTCCTTTTAATAGTTGTTTGTAATCTATACAAGAGGACTGATAACAATAGTCCCAGAATAAGGACGTTTAGCTCATATAATGCTCGTTGTTCGTTTGTGGGATTTTCCTTTCTGTTTGTCTTCTGCTCAGCTACTGGCAGATCTACGCAATGGTAATTTGATGGCAACCGCTTGTACATATAGTAAGTGATATTATCAAGTCTGCAATAAAATAACAAAGTATTTTCCTGATGTAATACAAATTTTTGGATATAAGGACATTGTTAATACAATAGGAGAACCGTTAGAACATACAATAGCTTGGCTTTATTAACAGCCATGATCATGTTAGCAATTTTGATCTAATTTAAGTGATGTCCCCATTATAGTGGTAAATTGTGTTTTCATTAATACAGTGAGAAAGCCATTAATATGAAAATTGCTCGTTCAGAATTACATTAGTGAAGTGCTTATCCTATTATCACTAAACTGATTCTAAGCTAGGTGCTAAGCAATTTGAGTCGAAGCATCCTACATCAAAGGAGTCAACATCTTTCTTAGAAGGTCCTCACTGGCTTTCTTATAATTTTTTGACACTGCTTACTGTGTTATCAATAAAAGTTACATAAATTAATATCACACCATTATTAGTTTATTTATGATCCTATGCATTTTATCTAACGACACATATATCCTACAACTTTACATTTGGATACCCTAATTACTCCCAGCATCTCTCCAGAATATTAATAAATAGTGTGTATAAATTTGGTTGTAAGCAACAGAATCTAACCCCACCATCTTATGCAAAGAAACATATTTAAAGGCAATCACGGATTTCACAGAATAAATAGGGGGAAACTGGCTTGGGGATAGGAAACAAGAGATTTCTGGAAGTCTCCAGGAGGGAGGCCAGGGCAATGATCTTCCTAGCAACAATGATTGGGTCAGTTAGCATCGTCAGAATGAATGATCCTCCATCTTTACATCTGCTTTTATGTCAAGCCTCAAACCTTGAGTCCTGTGGAGATCCTCTGATGGACTCAGCTTAGGTTCTGTGCCTGGCTACTTGCTGTGCTGAAGTAATAGTAATACTTTAGGATCCATCCTATAAGATCATACAAAATGAGTGAGAGGAAATTATCCCCCACCAATAATTGGGTGCAATAAAGAAGGATGTAACGGGACTGTTAGTCAATAAAATAAAGGATTCCACTACAATCAGGAAATACATGTTGAGTACTCTACCTCATAAGGAAATTGTGGTAGGCATTATTCCGTTTACAATTACCTGGCTCTCCTAAATGGTTATCCTTTGGAATCATGACCGTGAGAGTTGCTTTGGCCAATGATATGTGACCAAAAGTGATGCGTGTTTCTTATCTCTATTTAAGTTTTTAATTATTGGTGCTCAAATCCTCAATTCTCCCTACCATCATAACCAGCAACCTTCCAGATGGTGGAGCCTCTGTCAGTTGGAGTCCCAGAATGCAGCAATCTAAAGCAGAAGCCATCACTAAAAGGCAGCAACGTGTGACAGAAACAAGAAATAAACATTGTCTGTGCCACAGAAATGTTGTGGGTTTTGTTACCACACATCTCCTGCCCAACAGAGACGTATGTGGTGTAGTAGAAGGAGCATAATCACTGTTAAAAGGTAAGCTCCAATTCTTTTTGAATATATGATTTTGGGATATAAATAACATATTTTATGTATCACTTTATGTATCACTTTTCTCATTTGTAAAATGGAAGAATATATACCAGCAGCACAGGTATGTTATAATATCCCCTAGAGCCTATAGCTTAGGAAGAAAAGAAGGCTAAAGTCAGAACACTTAGAAATACCAGTATGTAAAGTAAATATAGAAAAAAGTATGGCGACTGAAGGTCAGCAACTAGGGAGTTAAGAGGAGAACTAGAAGAGAGTACAGTGATAGAATAGGAAGAGAGACTGAAATACTATAGAAAGGCCGGGCATGGTGGCTCACGCCAGTAATCCCAGCATTTGGGGAGGGTAAGGTGGGTGGATCACGAGGTTAGGAGATCAAGACCATCCTGGCCAACGTGGTAAAACCCCGTTTCTACTAAAAATACAAAAATTAGCCGGGCATGGCGGTGCACACCTGTAGTTGCAGCTACTCGGGAGCTGAAGCAGGACAATTGCTTGAACCTGGAGGCATAGACTGCAGTGAGCCGAGATCGCGTCACTGCACTCCAGCCTGGGCAACAGAGTGAGACTGTCAAAAAATAAAAATAAAAATAAAAAAACCTATAGAAAGAGGAAAGAGCAGCAAGGAATGTGTAATATTTCCACTATATTGACAATGAGTAGATAATCAATGACTTTTTCAATAGCAAATTACTTCATATTTATTTCAAGAGGATAAGAGGCTTTATACTTTATATTAAAATATTAAGAGCTAAGAAAACCATTAAAACAGAGAAAATAGAAGATATGCACAGGGGCAGGGAGCGGGGGAAAAAGCATACAAAAGAATGATAGACAGCTGAGACAATAACGGATTAACATTTATGAGTATCTTGACAATCATGTTTAAAGGAAACATGATGTATTAAGAGAAAGCATATAAGTTAAATGAGATAAACTTTGTGAAACTATTTTCACATTGATCTCTACCAAAGGAAATCTTGATATACCTGAAGGATGGTGACCTTCTAAAAACATTTTTCTCATAAGACCCTTCCTGCCATTGTTTTTGAGAAAATTTGCAGGTCAAATGGAAATCAGCATTCTGTGATAGCATTTCAGTGAGGAGTAATAGAATTAATTATATTACTAAGGTTCCAATTATTGGCAAATCTAAAAATGTTTCGAATTAAGTATGCTATAAACTAAGATAGGCTTGACATTAAATTTTTTTTAAAGTTCCTTTCTCTCTATCTCCAGAATGAATCGCGATGTATCTTGTTTTGGTCAGATAACTTGGTTGTTCTGAAAATAATGCATAGATTTCTCACCCCAAAACTTGTGCTAAAAATTTCACAAACCTTCAGATATATAGTATCTTACCCCACAGTTTTGAGGTATGTTTAAAAAAATCATTTGGATGTAAGTCAGCCTCACTGCAAAAGGCACAGTTTTTATGGTATCATGCTACTTTTTTGGGGCTAAGAATTTTATTTTGAGATCTTCTCTGATAAGTTTGAGAACACTACCTTTTGTTACTCATTTTCTTCATTTCTAAAATGAGAAAGAAATTCCAATCTCTATTGAATACAAGATAAAGCACATTCCTGGAGCATAAATTGCCCAGTTCTGAAGATTATAAATTGAATCATAACAATCTACAGTCGTACGTCACTTAACCAAAGGGGCTACACTCGGAGAAATGTGTTGCTTGGTAATTTTGTCATTGTGCGAACATTATAGAGTGAAGTTACGCAAATTGAAATGGCATAGCCTACTTACTATACATGTAGGGTATACGGTGTAGACTATTGCTCCTAGGCTCCAAACCAGTACAGCACGTTACTCTACTGAAAACTACAGGCAGCTGTAACACAATGGTAAGTATTTGTGTATCTAAACATAGTTACACATAAAAATACAGTAAATATATTTACCATATTTAAATATATTTATGTAATATATAGTTATAATCTTATGGGACCATCATCATATATGTAGCCTGTTGACTGAAACATGTGGCACATGACTATGCATTAGGCTGCCTATAACTTCCTATGCTTTGTGTTCCTTAAAAAAGAAGAGAGGAAAAGTTTATAATTGCTTGTGATTGTCCTATACTTTCTTTGAAGCCAAAAAAGTTATTTTTTTACACCTCAGTGCAAAGTTTCTCCTCCCCCTTAGCCCATTTATGACTAGTGTTCCATTATTGGAACGCTAAGCAAGTGGAACTTATTTATATCCTACTGCTCAAGGTCATCGCCAAGGTCTGATTGCAGAAATCCAAAAATTGCAACCACAGGCATAAATAGTTAATGGATTTAGCTTTGGATTGAAATCTTACAGTTGTGTGTGTGTGTCTCCGTGTGTGTGTGTATGTGTGTGTGTTGCACTGATCTCATAGCTGTACAACAATACAATTTATGAAAATGAAAAAAAGGAAATAGGTACTTTCTACTTTCTAACAGAGCCTATGTAAGTTAGGTTCAATGTGATCTTCTGTGCTTATTTTTCCCCACATAGATTGGAGTTCTTTCATCTTTTTTTATGATGTGTACACACATTCCATGCTATGGAATGAGGTTGATCCAAGCAACCTATTAATACACATACTGTGTTTTCAGTGCAGGCATTGTAAGAAGGCAGAGTTTCAACTTGGGACCTTGCCCAGGATCGTGTTTGGGTTGGGGCCAATCACTATGACAAGCCTTCGGAGTTTATTGCTGATCACTGAAGGAAATGGTCACATAGACCTCTGGGAGCTCAAGATTTTCCCTTCTCTTTTAGGGGACATATGTGTCATCTGAGTCACAGAAATACGATGTACATAAACTACAGATCAGGGAAGGCTTTGTTCAGAAAGAGTGAGTGTGAATCAGCATAGCATTCTAGACTACCACACAGGTCATTCTCTTCTTCTTGCTCTCTGGATTGCCTCCAAAAATATTTTTAATGAGATTTTCATTGAATTTCAAATCAATATGCCAACCTAAAGAGAGAGCAGGGACCAGAAAAATGAAGGTAATAGAATTACAAAGTGGAAAGTATAATGGTCACTGGCCGTTAAAATATGTTTTATTATTGTTTATTTCTTTTTTCAGGAGGCAGAAGATATGATGTTTGTCTTTATCTTGAAATTGAAGTAAAATATTAACAAAGTGTTTTGGGGTGGGGAGCATCTTACCAGTTAATGTTCTCCTCCCCACTAAAGGTTATTATCTTTTTCTATGGGTGATATGTTCATGTCTGATGTATTTTCCTCTATCTGTTTCTAGCTCTATTATTATCCCATTGTAAATGTTTTCCATCCAGTATTGAACCTATTATTCCTGAGAACAGGTATTTAAATCTCTGCTTATTTCAAGCATAGATATCTTTGGGCTTTTTTACTCCTCTGGGATTGTCTTTCCAACTTCCTAAAAAATGGAAATTCAGCAGCCTCTGTTCTTTTTGGTCCTATAGCAGATAATTACCTACAGAACTAGTTACTGGAAACAAGTTATGGTTCACAAGCTATTAAACTTCAGCCTGAGGTTTCTTGACAGTTTCCTTCCAGATTTCTGAGAGCGAAGTTTGCCTAAGTTTATTGTAACTCTTCTGCTATTGTCTACTGGAAAAAGTTCATTGTTCTACTACAGAATATGTTATTGGATGGTTTTTCAGAGATACAAGCTGCCTTTGTCAATTTCTTTCATTGAGTATCTGCTCATTACCCACAGAGGCCAAGTTGCAGAACTACAGAAAAACACAGAATACTTAAATAAGGTTTGTTGGATAGGGAAAAATGCAAACATATTTCCCTTCAGGATTGGAAAATAATGTTTATTCAAATGTGTGTGATTATGTATTTGGGTGTCTGCTCACTGCAGCTCTTTAGGTAGATACACTCATTTAAAGACACAGCATGTCTTTGTGCAGACCAACTTCTGAACTTTCCAACTTAAATTATGTCATTTGCAAGCTTTTCTCATCATAGACTTTGTTTTTTATGCCCTATTATGTCTCCTGTTGCTTTTTATGATTCCATATATCGTCATGTATTTTGGTTACCCACATAGTGTCAGAATCAGGTCCAGAAGTAAGAAAGAATTTGAATGCAATAAGTCCCTTTGGAGGTAATCCCAAGAGAAATGGCATGAAGAGTGGGAGAGTGGAAAATTGAGATGTTAGAAGGAAAGCAGCCAAAAAGGATGAGTTAAAGAGCTGCTTACTGTGTTGTTGACAACTGGACTGAAGACTGCTGGGGACTTATGGTGGATGCTATAGAACTTGCCTCAGAGCTTTCCCACTCCAAGAGTGAGCAAGCGGGGACATTTATTCTCTTCTTCCCTTCCATCCTTGGTTGGGGATTGCTTCCTGGGAGTCATTAACTCCTGACTTTAGGCCTACCAGTGTTTAAGCTGAGGCTGCCAGGGAAAGCCTATAGGTACAGAGCTGCAGGTACTTGCTGAAAGAGCCATCAGTGTCCATGGAAACAGTGAAAACCAAGGGAAATAAGTAAGATACAAAGGGCTTCACGATAGTTACCAACACTAGGATTCACTTTTCAACAGCTATGCCTTTTAAGTTTTGAGAGTAAAGAATAATGTGTCAACTACTGGTCTCACTTAGGATCAATCATTTTTACTGATTCTTAGGAGAATTTGATTTAAGTTATGGATACAACAGAGCTGGAACATTGGTATTTCCCACTTAGCCTAACAATGGGCAGTCTATGCAAGTATCTCAAATGGGCACCAACAGAATTCTGTGCTCAAAACCTCGTAGCTTTTCATCCATATGGTTTATTTTAGTAAAATAGCTTTGCTCCCACATTTTTAGAGCTCAATATTAGACGTTTCACTATTCTACCTGTCAATAATTTTGCTGTACTTTGCTCACTCTAGGGTATAACTAGAATATCAGTTAAGGTTCTTTTATTCTCAAATATTGGAAGATGCACTCTGAACTGGCTTAAGCAATAAGGAAATATTCTTTATTTAAAAACTAAAATATACTGGGAGAGTTCTAACATCAAGTGTAACTGTACCCAAGGACTTAATATCACTCAGCACCCATTGTATTAGTCCGCATGCTTTGCTGTCCTATCTTTTGGCTCTGTTCCCAGATAAACTGTCCACTTAAAATGCCACCAAGAGCCCCAAGCATTATACTCACAGCTCCGATTCAGCTAGAACAACAAAGAAAGCTTTATTCCCACCAGTAGTTCAAATAAAATCCTGGGCCTGACTCTCAGAAGTCCATTTGGGTAATTGGATTGCACTTTTATCCCCCTGAATTCCTGAATTAAACACTGTCACTGGGAAACAGGATGATCTAATTGTCTAGACCAGAGTCACGAGCCTATCCCAGGAGGGACTGAGTGCGTGTTGGGGGGAAAGTATTTTCTCAGAGAAGTGGGCAGTGGGGTGGAGTGTAGCTCTTCCAGAGGATTGTGGATTGAGGGAGCAGATGTTAATTTGAATTGTATTTTCCATCATTTGATTATTCAGATGAAAACAAGGGACTGTTAAAAAAGAAGATAGTATGGATTCTGACCACATTAAGTGTGTATCTCTGCAACATAGCATATTTTACTCTCCATGGATCCTACCACTGATTTGACTCTTTACCTGCTTTTTCTTTCCTACCTCTATTAATATTCTGACCAATGAGATGCTTTCCATCAAGCAACCCACTGAAGAACAACTCTGGCTTCTCAACACATCTCTATCATCAGTCTAGAAATGGTTCACACAGACTAAACCTCCCAGTGGGTTCTGTAGCCCATAACGGGTTTACACTTTTCCCAGATTGGAAGAATCCACTGGAGTTATTTCAAAACATGCCATTGTTAATAGATCTTTTTTAAAAAAGACTGATCATCTTATAACTACTAAGTCGTATCAAATTTAAACTAACCACAATAGGCTACCTCTCAAAGTGATACCTAAGCTCAAAAACTCTTCTTGGTCAAAATTGTCTTCCAGTGGGCTATGCATATTTAAAATGTAACTTTAAAAATGGATCATTTTTAAAAAATTATAAATAATTCTACAGAGTTTTCCAAATGATACATTTCTTGGATGGCTATCAGATAGGAATTACACCAAGGTCTTCATACGATCTACTATCATTAATCACCTTACCATTTAAGATTTATAGACTTGTCTCAAATTCCTATCCCACAAAATCTGGCAAGCTCAATGTCTGTTAAAACATTTAGAGTTTATTGGTGAGTATTCATTAAATTGCACCTCATTACTCTTTTTTGTGTTTCTGGGTAAATTTCTTATCTTTATTTTACATCTCATTTCTTGTTTATGACATCTCTGCTGGACACTGACCCAAGTTTTCCATTTCCCAAAGTGCCACTTACACGAGATTGAGGACACAGAAGACTTTTGCTGAGATTTCGGTCAGAGGTTTCTCAAACTTCAGCACACATTATAATCCTCTGGAGGGCTGGTTAAGATGATACAGAGCCCAAAGTTCCACATCCAGTAGGTCTGGGGAGGCTTCTGAGAATTTGCATTTCTAACAGGGCTTGCATCCCCTGAGGTTGTCGGTCAGAGGATGACACTTTGCTTTGAGGACCATTTGTTTACAGTGAAAAAGCAGCATGGTCAGGGGAGGGTTGCATTATTATGCAAATAACTTAAAATTGAAAGATAAGTGTCTTATTTTCAAAACATATTCAGCCATTTCCACCTTCAGGAATTCTTCAGTGGTTATATTCCAGGTAGAGTCTATGAGTTCTCCTTCCATTTCTTTCCCTCTTTTTTCTGGCTCCCTTACTCCTCTCTGAAGGCCTTACTTGGGAAATGCAAAACTCCTCTTAGTTTATTATATAGTACACTTGAGTTATTGTTGTCTCTTTGCTTCAAAACTCCTCAATTTCGGCCAAGTCTGTAGACTAGTTATTTTCTGACGTGCTTTGCTAAATGAAGACAGTTCTCTCTATTTATATATTTCTGCTACTGGTTCTTAAACTAAATTCTACTCTCTCAATTACATGTTGTATTCTGTTTCTTGAATTTAAGTCTTTATGTGAGTTTATAGGTGGTTTAGAAAACTTTTTATTGCATATATCATTTATTATATGGCTGTGATTATGATAATCATTGACTGAATGAATAAATATATAAATCGTTGATGTTACCTCTTAAGATTAACATTGGAGAATACAATCTTCTTTTTTTTTTTTTGGCAGAGTTTCGCTCTGTCTCCCAGGTTGGAGTGTAGTGGCAAAATCATAGCTCATTACAGTTTTGCACTCCTGGCCTCAAGTAATCCTCCTGCCTCAGCCTCCTGAGTAGCTAGGGCTACAGGCATGCGCCACCATACCCAGCTAATTTTTGATATTTTTTGAAGAGACAGGGTCTCACTATGTTGTCCAGGCTGGTCTTGAACTCCTGAACTCCCGGCCTCAAGCAATCCTCCTGCCTTGGCCTCCCAAAGCACTGAGATTATAGACACGAGCCACCACACTTAGCCTGTTATTTCCTGAGTATTAAGGCTGTCCTGATGAAAGGTAGGGTCACACTGTGGTTAAATCTAGGCTCCTGGCTTCAAGTCAAGCTCTGCAACTTTCTAGCTGTGTGAACCCTAAGAAAGTTACTGAACACCTCTGGATCTATTTTTTCTCCTATAGGATATGAATGATTATAGTTTCATTATAGGGTAATTGTGTAATTAAATACTATCATACATATAAAGCCTTTAAAGTAGTGGCTAGTACCTCATGAGTACTTATTAAATATCAGGTCCTCTTATCATGAGGAACTTGTATTTCTAACTAGTATCATTATCTCTGCTTCCACCTGGATCATTCAGCTTACTCTTTGCAGGATAACTATTAGTATGGCAGAAAAAAGATAGTCCTGCATTTAGGGAGAACTCCCTAAGGTCATGAAAACATATTATTTCATCAGAGTTATTAGAAGTTTCTTTCAAATTCTATTAACTGTCTCCTTATTCAACATGGAATTAGGAAAATTTCAGCACTAAAAAAATATATTTTAAAGTTGTATTTTGCTTCAAATTAGGGTTATGTCAAATGTCAATATTACTCTAAGAAAACCCTAAGATAAAATACAGCGAACTCTTACAACATATATTTTCTGCTGTAGGGGATAGCATTACAGGACATCACAGAATAATGATATTTCACTGTTGATTGTTCTTGAGGTAAGAAATACCTTTAAATAAATTGTATCAGAGCTAATTTGAAATGGTTTCAAGAGATCTTGTGCCACCTGGTATGTATATGTATGTGTGTATATGTGTATGTCATCAGTATAATCACTATTGCTGCTATAATCCCATTTCTCTATATAATGCAAGGAGCAGGTGGTGACCTGTAACTTTTACTCTAATTCTCAGTCAATTTGTTCATTTTCAATTTTGGTAGTTTCTGGAATAATGCATACTCATCCAAATCTCCTTGGTAACATATTTTTCCAAGGTAAAACAGCATTTCATTTTTTTCTTATCAAATGAAAATCTAGAAAAAAATATAAAACTTTGTTTGCATCATTCCAAGTTGTGACAGTCCTAATTTTAGGGATGAATGAGCAGTGAGATTATTGCTCTGGCTTATCTCTTCTTTCTCTCCTCTTTTTCCTGGGAATCACCTTCTTTTTTCACATATATACAGACATATAAAAATACATATGCAAACTATTTTATTGTCCTCTGAAGAAATGACATTGGTCCTTGGTAGTATTAGCAGTTTCCTTGTGATAGAGAAAGGAAATCAAAAGGTCTTATATTTGCATAAACTGAAGCTCAACTAATACATGTTCTGAACAGTTTGCTATAACAAAGCTTTCTGATCCCTTTTACTTCACTGACCTAATTTTTATACATGAAATAACTAAGAGGATGTTTGGTTTTGGTCAATTCTACTGTAAGTAAATGATGTAAAACCAGTAATCTTTTAATATCTTTAGAATCTCTAAATGTCTTCTGTTTTATTTCTGCAGACTGTGGCAAATTAAATAAGCCATTTCTTTCTTTTTCATAAAGAGTAGCACACTAGAAAAGGCTGTAGTGAGGGAAGGAGATTCTTGGTCGTGGAAGTATTGGATTGGTCCAGTATTTTTAAAGAAAATTACTCTTGCCAGGTGCGATGGCTCACGCCTGTAATCCCAGCACGCTGGGAGGCCGAGGCAGGCAGATCACTTGAGGCCAGGAGTTTGAGACCAGCCTGGGCAACATGGCAAAACCCCATCATCTCCACTAAAAATACTAAAAAAAAAAAAAAAAAAAAAAAAAAAAAAAAAAAAAAAAAAAAAAATTAGCTAGGCATGGTGGCACATGCATTGTAATCCCAGCTACTTTGGAGGCTGAGGCATGAGAATCTTTTGAACCCAGGAGGCAGACGTTGCAGTGAGCCCAGATTGTGTCATGCACTCCAGCCTGGGTGATACAGTGAGACTGTCTCAAAAAAAGAAAAAGAAAAAGAAAAAATATTACTCTTTTACAGAACTGATGATGATTAGAACCAGAAGAAATTAATCTTTTACAGAACTGATGATGATTCGAACAAGAAACCTGTTAATTGCTGGTAAATATTTGTGATTTCTGAAGCTGGAGAATTGTTCTCACAAAAGAAATCAGGCAAAATGTGCTTACCTTCCTTCCCCATTTCATTCATTCCCTCTTTCCTAACCAACTCTAAATGTAATCCTACACAGTAGCCCCCAACTGAGTCAGCTCATTCAGATGTCCAGAAACCATGCTGGCTCCCTTTTCAGTCCTCTTTTCTTTCAGCACAGGTAGAATGCCATTGGTATATCTTAGGGGAATTTTCCTTTCTGCTCTTCACCCTCATTACGCCTGCCATCTGGTTCATTTCTGCTTTGCTTCCTTTCAGCAGATGTGTTCCCACCTCCCCTCCCACACTGACCTGAATGAATCTCTAGTGGTTCAGCATACCCATGAGTCTGGACGGGGACAGGGACAGACAATGGGGCAATGCTAGCACTGTGAAGTCATACAGAGACGAAAAGAGATTTTCATATGTGTTTAAAGTAAGAAGACATATGTTTATACTTGTTCACAGACAGAAAATATTTATTTTCTTTTGGCTTTATGATGTCAACCTGGAAATAAAATCCCTGTATTTTGCCAGATGAAGGTCTTATTTTATAAAATCCAAATTTCTGCATTGTCACCAAACATTGTGGCCCATATCATTGAAATTTGCACAGCATTTGACATCCATGGAGTACAAGTATACATCTGCTCATAATTTGTAGACTTACCTGCTGTGGTTGATGCTTTACATATGTTTAAGTGTGCTATGTGAACTCAATAATGTACTCCTTCTTATAGGGACGTCTGGGTACAAGATAAATTCCATCCTAAGTTAGATATATTAGTTCTACTGAATAAATTGACTAAGCTATGAAATAACTATCATTAATGTAAGCTTACATTTTTTTAGTCCTGAAATATGAGATCCAGATTATGAAATACAATAAAATGCAAAGAATGAAGATTCAGTTCTAGGAGGGAGAAAAGAGAGAAAAGTGATAAAAGTAGATAATAACGATAGTTTGCCCACTGAGATAAAAACACTTTATACATTTGTTTAAATCCTCAATTCCATGTAAATGTTACTCTAGATATAATGATCTGAAACAATGATTAAAATTTAAAATGTATTCCACATTCCAACCTGCTGAGAAGACAGGATAAGATTAAGCAGTAATTGATAAAAGTTAAGATTAGACTTTAGTGTCTAAATTTTCCTTTATAAAAGAATCTCTTTGTAAAATAGAATTCAGCAGACGTAGTATAGCATATTTATGCTAACAATTAATTTATGCATTTTATGAATGTAGCAATGAAGATATCAATGGTTTATAAAAATATGTATGTACCTATTTGGAAAAATATGTTTCGAAATGCCTGCTGACCTTTTGGAGATCTTCACTGGACAGGCAGTCACAAAAGATGGTGGGTAGACAAATGATAGCATTAGGACTCTCTTCCCTGCATGATGAAGATTTCCTTGTCCAGATCCTTTGAGATGGAACTCCACAAACTCTGGAACTAAGTGCATTCCTTTTGAAAACTTTTAATGAAATTATGAATGCAAAGCATCTGAGAGACGCCTCCAATATAAAGAAGAACTGAAATGCGATGAACTTTGGGGTTGAATTTTGACTCACACATCACCTTACTAAAAAAAGTAGTTTGTATTAAATAAATAAATACAATGAAGTTATAGAACAATAAGGCTAATAATTGTAGAACTATTAGAAATCATCAATGTTTGTTTTGTTTTGTTTTTTTTGAGACGGAGTCTCACTCTGTTGCCCAGGCTGGAGTGCAATGGTGCGATCTCGGCTCACTGCAACCTCTGCCTCCCGGGTTCAAGCAATTCCCTGCCTCAGCCTCCCAAGTAGCTGGGATTACAGGTAGCCACCACCACGTCTGGCTAATTTTTGTATTTATAGTAGAGACGGGGTTTCACCATCTTGGCCAGGCTAGTCTGGAACTCCTGATCTCGTGATCCACCCACCTCGGCTTCCTAAAATACTGGGATTACAGGTGTGAGCCATTGCGCCCAGTCAATCAATGGGAGTTTTCTTATTTCATGAATAAATTTTATGTCTAACTTTTTATCCTTAAAGCATTTATTTTCCTGGTTAATGTAGTTTATCAAAAAATAATATGACTAGAATGTATATAAACTTAACAAGAATGCATCTCCTACATTTTTATACATTATGAAAAAATATAGAATTCTGAGTAAAGAGTTATGGAATAATCCTCTTTTCTTCTTCACAAGAATCTAATTATTGTATAAATTTGACCTAAGTACATAGGGCTGAGAAATACGGAATCATTAAATTATAGGGCTAATGGGATCTGAAACATTATGTTCAGCAACAACATTTTATTGCTTTTAAAGTAAGTGTAAGACTATCAAATATAAAACTTTGTCATCTTTTTTAGATAATTATACTTACAGAAAACCTAGAAGCTCAAAACCTGGGAGAAACCAAGGCTAATTTGTCTTTAGCATATTAAAATTATATCATTAATACCAAGTAAAAATAAATTCCTCATTCAGTACTGTAGTTATTCAACTAGGTGTTTCATATGATAGGACCATTGCATGTGTTGATGTGGAAATGATGGAAAATGGAAATGTCTAAAGGAATTTGGTGATATGAACTGGAGCTGCAGTGGCTAAGAATTAAACATGTAGATTTAGATGAGGCTGATTTGGGAAAATAAATTGGATATCTAATAACTATTTGATAAAAAGCAAAAAGAGGATCCACATGTAGTTCTTAGATGAATTTTGTGCAAGGGAAGAAGACAAACTGTTCATAAAAGAGGAAGTCACTGTCAACTAATTTCAGAGAAATAGTGTCATACAGAGTGTCCACATGCTACAGGGATAAGAGAATGAGGATGAGAAGAACATTAGGGAAAATGTGAGCATGAGTGAAGCTGACAGAAGAGATCCAATTAAAAAGGACAACTTGAGCTCAAAACCAGAGGGGTAAGAATGGCAGCGAAGTGTCTCTGGAGGTGGGACATGATGGAATCTGAGGTCAGAAAGGAGGAACTAACTTCAGACATAAAAAGAAAAGATGAGGGTTTTTTTTTTTTTTTTTTTCTGAAACCTGGAAGAAAGATGAAAAGGTAGGGGCAAACAGAGAGATAGATTGAGTTGGGACAAAGATGAAAGCAGGAGCTCATGAACTCAACCTTCCCAGTTACATGGGGAGTGGGATCACCTGTTGAGAAGGGCAAGGAATAGTAGAACTTAGAAGAGAATAGAAAACGTCTGAAACAACTTAGGTTGGGCACATACTGAGGAGCCAGCAGGAGATAAATAAAAGGGCTGCTTAGCACTGACAAGAAACAAGTTGCAGTTTGATTTTCATACGTTACAGGACAAAGTAAGAACACTGGTTTTATATTTGAAAATTTTGACTTGTGTCCTGGTGTCATAATTTGACCAAACTGCTTTATCTTTTAAAAATAAATTTTATTGTGTATATTTAAGGTGTACAAATGATATTATGGTGGATATATAGTATAAAGGTTACTATAGTGAAGCGAATGAACATATGCATCAGCTCACATAGTTACCCATCTTTCTTGTGGCAAGAGAAGCTAAAATCTACCCTTTTAGCATGAGTCTCAAATACAGTGCAATTTTATTACCTATAGTCCCCATATTGTACGTTAGATCTCTAGACTTGTTCATTCTATATATCTGACACTTTGTATTCTATGACCCACATCTTTCATTTCCTCCCCACCCAAACTGGTAACCACTGTTTTGTTCTCTATCTTTGTATAATTGAATTATTTTTTAAGAGTCGGCATATAAGTGAGATCATGCAATATTCCTCTTTCTGTGTCAGGCTTATTTCACTTAGCATAATGTCCTTCAGACTCATCCACATTGTGGCCAATAGCAAGATCTCATTCTGTTCTATGGCTGGATAATATTTCATTTTATGTACACATCACAGTTTATCCATTTGCCTGTTGATGTACACTTAGGTTGTTTTCATATGTTGGCTGTTGTGAATAATGCTGCAATGAACATGGGAGTGCAGATATCTTTACAAGGTGGCAATTTCATTTCCTTTGGATATATGCCCAGAAGAGAGATTGCTGGATCATATGGTTGCTCTATTTTAAATTTCTTTAGATATCTTCATGATCTTTTCTGTGGTGGTTATTGATACCAAGTACCTCACTATTCAGGTTGCTGAAAATATATAATACATAAGTGATCTTAAACTCATAAGAAGAAAACTGTGTGTTTATTATTAACATTTACTAGGCAAAAAAGTCATCTTAAACTCTCTTTATTAACTTTATATCTGCAAACAGCATCACCATTCATATGCATTTTATTCATTTCTTATGCTGGGTCTGAGAAAGAAAAAATAATTCTAGAAAACCAGTGTTTTCCCCAACTCAGTTCAAAATAAAGCAAAAAAAAAAAAAAAAAAAAAAAAAAAAAAAAACTAGGTACTGAAAAGCTAGGAAATCTAGTCTTCTTCCGTATATGAAACAATGACATAGCTAAATACGAAGGCAATAACAGAAGTGAAGTTGTCCTGCTATTATCTCAACAAAGCATTTTCTACTTACTTGCTTATTTGGTTTTTTGTTTTGTTTTGTTTTATGTATTGGGCATTGGAAAGGAAGAGAAAGAAAGGATTAAGCGATTGAAAAGGCTTTATGTTTTTAAATTATACAACATTGCCAAACCCCAATGAGCAAAATACTATTCATTTTCTGTCTTAGTGCACAACAAATAGACACAAATGCGTAAGTGCCTAACTCTTTCCAAAACATATTCAGGAAATGTAAGGAGAATGAGGCCTTTCTTAATGCGTGGCTTGCAGAATGGTAGCTTAGATATACAGAAAGTAAACAGAAGACAAAAGAAATGTGGAAAATTTCCAATATATTGTATAATTAAAGTCAAAGGAATTTATATATGAAAATGTGTTTGCCTACAAAATGAGTTTAGAATATATTAGCTGCTAAACTGAAGCAAAACAGAAAAAAGTGATCAAGTGATATTTACAGTAAATGTGGACATGGAATTCAACATAGGTCAAAAGGTGAAGTCAAATATTGCCAGGAGATTATAATTGTTATGCTAAGCAAAATGAGATAAAAACATAGGGCCAAGGACTTACTGATTTTCAACATGTAAGCATAAACCCCTGTATAAGTCCGTTTTCACACTGCTATAAAGAAATCCCCCCAAGACTGAGTAATTTATAAGGGAAACAGGTTTAATTGACTCACAGTTCTGCACAGCCAGGCAGGCCTTGGGAAACATAATTATGGTGAAGGCAAAGGGGAACAGGCCCCTTCTTCACAAGGCAACAGTAGAGAAAGAGAGCAGGAAGGAGGAGGAGCCCCTTATAAAACCATCAGATCTCAGATCTCATGAGAGCTCTCTCACTATCATGAGAACAGCATAGGGGAAACTGCCCCCACGGTTCAGTCACCTCCCACCGGGTCCCTCCCTTGACACATGGGGATTACAGTTTGAGATGAGATTTGGGTGGGGACACAGAGCCAAACTATTGTCTAGCTATTTCCTTAATTTCCTTTGGAATGAGGAGAGGGACAGAGAGAGAGAGAGAGAGAGAGAGAGAGAGAGAGAGAGATTAGCCTTAACAAATTGCATGATAAGTTAATGTCTAATATAATGTAAGAAATTGACTGACAACCTAGTAAGGAACTGACTTTATGAGCATCAATGAGTCACAGCCTGAGTGAGGATGTCATCCCCACAAGGATGTTAGTCTCCAATTTAGAGTCCAGATGATTACTTAGGAAACTTAGTTTTTAAATATCATGATTTTAACATTTTTTTATTGATGCATAACAAAATGAAAGGCACTTATTAGATGCTAGTAAAGGTTTAAGAATTGTTTTGAAAAATTAGAGATGATTATGGTGTTCAGAAGAGAATAAAATTTGATTGTTTACTTGCTCTGTTCTAAAAGATATTCTTTCTTGCATTGATTGAGAATAATTGGCAAATGCATCTCTGTAAGATTTATTGATCATTTTGAAGACAACTCAACTAGATTTATATGTGAATATAATCATGTGGGAGTTACAAGCTTGTCAAATACATGACTTTGTACCACTATGCAGAATGCAAGGCCTCAGTCTTTATTTTCCTTCAAGCTTCCTTTCCAGTCTTTTCAACAACAATGATAAAAACTTAATGCTGCATCCTTAGGTTGTGTCTAATCATCTTTCACTCACTGGCGAGACTTGTACTGGACTTTCTGCATGTGAATTATTTACCATGTACTTATTTTCACTGCTAGTTTATTGTTACTTATCTTTTGAATATTCTTTTTTCCCCTGGAGTCATTGAGTCCCATCTTTTTTTTTTTTTTTTTTTTTTTTTTTTTTTTTTTTTTTTTTTTTTTTGAGACGGAGTCTCGCTCTGTCGCCCAGGCTGGAGTGCAGTGGCGGGATCTCGGCTCACTGCAAGCTCCGCCTCCCGGGTTCACGCCATTCTCCTGCCTCAGCCTCCCAAGTAGCTGGGACTACAGGCGCCCGCCACTACGCCCGGCTAATTTTTTGTATTTTTAGTAGAGATAGAGACGGGGTTTCACCGTTTTAGCCGGGATGGTCTCGATCTCCTGACCTCGTGATCCGCCCGCCTCGGCCTCCCAA
The DNA here is from genome assembly GCF_000001405.40 of Homo sapiens. Classification (NCBI taxonomy): domain Eukaryota; kingdom Metazoa; phylum Chordata; class Mammalia; order Primates; family Hominidae; genus Homo; species Homo sapiens. The sequence continues at coordinate 164,177,959 of NC_000005.10, read as the reverse complement.
AGTGCTGGGATTACAGGCGTGAGCCACCGCGCCCGGCCGAGTCCCATCTTTAGAAGTCAGAAATATTCTACTGTTGGCAAAAGTGCGCATTTTGTATTTGATCAACCTTTATTTCTTGAAACTTACTAAATTTGTCACTCTCTCATTTATTGGACAATTACTCTCTTGAGTATTTATTGACTCCAATTTCTGTAATACATTTAAAGTGTTTGCCTTCTACCCAGATAATTTTTCAGCATCTCTCTCTTTTTCATTAAGTAGAAATTCTCCAAAAGTTGTTAGTCATACAAAATGCCAAACTTAAGATGTAATCAGAATTGATATTTTGCTGAAACAAACAAACAATGTCTATATATCTGATTCAGTTCCTCTTATAAAGATGGGAGACCACATGAGATGACCAGCATAGTCTACCTGTCTAGAATATGACATGATTTTCCCCTTAATTTTTGGTTTTCCATTTATTTTCATTATAACACACTTTTTATTGTTAAATATATATCCCATGCCAAGTGAGAGTTAATAGGAAGAAAGTATAGTAGAGGAAATATAATAAGGACTCTTTTATCAATGGCCAGGGTTTGAACCCAGTCACATTTATATACTAGCTATATGATCCTGGGCAACTTCATAGGAGTTTTTTATCTATTAAATAGCATATGCATATTGTTAGAGCTGGAGGCTATTATCCTCAGCAAACTAACGGAGGGACGGAAAACCAGGTACCGCATGTTCTCACTTATAAGCAGGAGCTAAATGATGAGAACTTATGAACACAAAGAAGGAAACAACAGCCACTGGGTTCTACTTGTTGGTGGGAGGTGGGAGGAGGGAGAGGAGCAGAGAAGATAGCTATTGGGTACTGGGCTTAATTCCTGGGTGATGAAATAATCTGTGCAATAAACCCTCATGACATGAGTTTACTTACGTAACAAACCTTCACGTGTACCCCTGAACCTAAAATAACAGTTAAAAATATAAATAAATAAATGCACAAACAAACAAATATCATAGGCATGTAAGGTACCCAGAGAAGTGCTTGACATATAGTACGAGATCCATGAGGTGGATGTTTGTTCTAGTTTTTATGATTTTGGGGGGTACCTTAGGTCACTGTTAAATATAATTATGCTTTATTAGACATAATTTGATCCATAAAAGTATCACATATTTTTATGTGGTCTCACATTTGTTAGATATTCTTCACTTTATAAAGAAATCCTGGCTATGCGCGTTTACTTGAACAATGTCAGAATAATATGAATTAACATTTATTGCCTATACTATGCCAGCATAATGCTATGTGTATTATATGTTAATTTAGCGATAAGTAAACTAGAGATGATAAAAAGACATAGCCTTTTAATTCATGCTATAGCCTTACTTCAATAAATACCTAAGTTCAAAACACTTTATGATCATTCCTTTCACATTTTGTTGTTTTTTTCTATAATCTATTTTGTATTTTCTTTTGACCTGTATTGATAAGGAGTGAAAAGTGAATAAATTGGATGCCATAGACCCCTGTGTGCTGGCTCACATGGTGATGACGGAGCTAATTATTAGGAGGATTGTGGAGTAGACTATTTGGGTTTTTGGGTCAGGATCCCACCCAGATCTTGGCCAAGGCAGGAAACCAGGACAAATACCTCTTTTCTGATCCTTAGGTATTAGTCAGGGGCTTGATTACCAGGTAAGGGGTTAAGAATCCAAGTTCTCTATGCAAAATAGGAAGATGGAATAGAGTTAACAGAATGGCCTACTAGTCCCTTGATTTGGAATATGTCTGGTCTCTAAATAGATCAAAGCTGAACTTACAGTTAAAGATTAAATAATTCTCATTGCAAAGATTATATAGTACTTCCCAAAGCCTGTTCCTCATAATACTAATACATGAATTTACCTGTTAAGAAAGTGTCCTCTTGTTGAATGATTTGGGGGAATACACAGTTTGCACACATTTCTATGATAAATGCATCAAGAAATCTTGCAGTAGAGAAACCTATTCAATTTTATTTGATGCAGTGTTTCCCAAAACTGTTTGATTGCAGGATACTTATATCATATCTTTTAATATTTTTCTCATGTATTCTACAAAATATACCTTGATACATGCCATATTATAAAAGTATGTCTCCAAATCTCTCTCTGTGTATGTGTGTATGTGTGTGAAGCAAAATACGAAAAGGCCACATCAAATTGCTAACACAAGATTTGTAGGCAGGTAGCTGATTTGGGGTAAAGGGGAGGAAAGAATCAAGCAGAAAATAAAGAAATAACACGTAAAGTAAAAGAGTTGACAAAAATGATAGCCAACAAATAAAAATATAAATAGGAATTTATTCAATAAATGAATTTCATAGAATCTTATGAACAAAGCTATAAAAAGCAAATTAAAGGATAATATCCAGTTTAAAAGACCAAAAATGTGTGGAATAAAAAACAGAGGCAGAAATAAAACAAGAATAGGGGGTTAAAAAGAACCAATTAGAAATATTGGCAATGAAGACATAGTATTGAAATGATAAAGAAAATTACCATGGATGAGGTAAACTCTAGTTTGGAGACAAGGAAAGAAATAATGAAGTATATCTTTGAGGAATTTGATTTACAAACTTTTAAGTATGCTTACTGTATGCCAGGTTCTTTTCTAAGTGCTTCACAAATGACTCACTTAATCTTCTAGCAACCCAATAAAATAAGCACTATTGTTGCCAACATTTTACAAATTAAGCTGATATATAGAGGGTATGTTGCTTGAAATCACGTAGTTAGTAAATGAAGAATCCCCAGATCACTGCCCACAGAGACAAAGAGACACAAAGCACGAAACAGCAATAAAGAGACCTAAAAGATAGATTGATGGGAATTAAGAAAATAAGACTCTAATTTCCAGATAATGATTAACTTTGAGAAATGGTGGAGAGTTATTGAGGATGGGGATAAAATGGTATCTATAACTTTTCCTTTATTTGAAAAATGAGAGATACCTTTGAAGAAAATATAGGAAAATGACAACATCTGTTACATTTGGGGGATGAGTGTTTGTATCTTTGGATATTTGAAACATCATTAAAATTAAAACTTTAGATTTTAATTGAAAAAAACCTCTTCAAACCCATCTATAGAACAGAATGTTAGAATTCCATTTTGTAAAATAAATTACATGCACAGAACTAAAACGTATCTTTTTTTTACATTTGATATAACAATGCATTTATGAATGTTCTTATATTGTATGACAGCAGTCCCCAACCTTTTTGTCACCAGGGACCAGTTTCGTGGAGGGATGGTTTCAGGATGAAACTGTTCCACCTCAGATCATCAGGCTTTAGAGTCTCATAAGGAGCACGCAACCTAGATCCTTGTATGTACAGTTCACAATGGAGTTCACGCTCCTATGAGAACCTAATGTCACCGCTGATCTGACAGGAGACAGAGATCAGGTGGTAATGCTTGCTCCCCAACTGCTGTGGCATCCTGGTTCCTAACAGGCCACTGACCTATGGTACCAGTCCGTGGTCCAGGGGCTGGGGACCCCTATTGTATGAGATCCTCGTATTAAGACATTTTTCTATGCAAAAACATTTTTCTATGCTTTGGTATCCAGTCTAGACCTTAATGCGTGTTTTCTGACCCAGATATATTATACTGCTGGTCATAAATTCCACAGTTAGGTTACACTGTGGAAAAGTATGCATTACTTTTGGGCACCATACAGATATCTTTTGAGCTTATTAACCTAAAGCTTATGAGAATAGGGCAGCTTATCCTTCTTCCTTGCCCTTCCACTTTCATGATTCTTACCACTGCAAATCCCAAACTCCAAGTTTCAAAAAACAATATATAATAAGTTTGTCTATCATTAACTCTTTGATTAGTTTGAATGAACTAACAATATTTCCATTAAAATTTCTCTAAGTAATAGACTTTTACTTATTTTTTTCCAAAAAATTACTATTTGATACGATTTTTTTGCATTTTTTCATTCTTTTGTATATGTTGATTGCTAAATACAGCCAACACTCAGATGGTCACATTTTATGACAAATATATGAAACGGATGAAAAGATTGTTCAGGATAAACTCAGCATTTCTCATCAAATGCTCTCACTGGGTTGAACAAAAAGAGGAAATGTGTGCAATGTTTACAGGTAAAAAGTTCTCGCTATCACTCTTAAAATTCCATAGGCTTAGAAGAAATTAGGGTGTTGCTGATAGAAGAACAGTCTGTAGCTCTTAATGTTTATTTTATACTATACCCTTTACAACAGAATTTCAGATTATTGATCGGCATTGCCTGATTCCATTTCATTGAGTCCTATGAGAGTTGAAATTGCAGACTGAGACAAACTAAAAGTACCAAGTTCATCATGTTTAAAACTGCTTTTTCAGGATATTGCTTTCTCTATGCTACTTCAGTGCTGTTCCTCTTCCACTGATAGGTTGTAATTGCAAAATGGATGGGGGAAAAAGCAAAAAAAAAAAAAAAAGCAGTTATGGTCTTATGTGGTACAGTCTGTGATGTGTGTCTGAAAGATTTATGTCCTGATTAAAGAAGCCCTGATTGAATTTTGTGATAGAAAATTGTTTTGGTTATTGGCACATGTGCCCGCACATTCTTTGATCCAAAGTCTGTTTCACTTATTGCTTTGAGAAAGTTAAAAAAAAAAAAAAAAGGCCTAGAGAAGAAAAATGCTGTTACATAGAAAGGAGATTAAATGTATTCTGTAATATAAGGAAGGCACTGGGATTTAGTAACCAATAACTCATGGTCCAGAAATACTTTCCTATGCATTGTCTTTTTCAGTTTACATTTCATTCACTCAACTCACTCACTCATTCATTTACTCAGTAAATATTTAGCAAATGCTCCTATGTGCCAGGCATGGTTTTAGGCACAAAGGCCACATTAGTAAACAGCACGAGAAGGACAATGCAGTTTGGTTTGTAGTGAGTGCTGTCAGCTAGCAAACAGAAAAGGCCTGGCTGAGTGAGGATTTCCAATAGTGATCAATGCCATGAAGAAAATAAAATAGATTTCGAACTGCTGAGGATTAATGTGAATGGGGAGTCTTTTTAGATTAGATGTAAGGTCAAAAGTGACCTGTTTGAGATGGTGACATTTGAATGAGCCATCCCCGCAGCTATCTACAAGGGCTGAAAACAGTGAAAGAAAGGAGTGGTCAGTGTCAGAACATTGCAATAAAAAACAACACATACAAAGTCCTCAGGTGGAAGTGGACTTGGCCTCTTCTAACAGCAGATGGGCTCATTGGGGGTGGGATATTGTGGAGATTGGGAGAAAGGTGAGAGTGGTAAATATTATTAGAGAAAATCATTAGTTCTAGCATGGGGGTAATGTTTATTAATCCTTGTATCATATTTGAGTCACCTGGGGAACCCTTAAAACTACCACTGCCTAGGCTATACCTGAAACCAATTCAATCAGAATCCCTGGGTGTGATACCTATGCATCAGCTGAGAATAGCTCACATGGAGAATCACTCACATGAGGATGTACAGATTCTGTGGAATGAATCCTGCATTTCTTTCTAAGTGTAATGGCAGCATATCTCCCCTTGAGTGTCTTTTCCTGTCTTATATCTAAGAATAGATGATAAAAGCCTTACTAAACACATTGACCAACATCACCATCTCATCAGGCCAACTCTTTATATATTCCACAACTAAAGAAATTACATTTCCCACAACCAAATATTTAATCAATACATTCTGCCTTTCATAATTTACTTCCACATTTTCTACATGTCTGTCAAACTACTACTTCCTCCTTTACTTCCTCCGAAGGTCATTTTACCCATTATCTTGTGTTTTCCTGATCACAGACACAGCACTGGCATTTTCAAAGTTACAAGCAGCAGATTCCTTCAGGTTTTCAGGGTCACACACCCAGGAAGTCTAACAAGGTAAATTGACTCCGTGAGCGGATTTTGTTTTCCACATTTAATAGAAAATACTTAAGTGTGCTATTAATTATTTTTATTTTAGTGATGAAAACTTGTCTTCAGTGGATTCTAAGTATCAGGTATAGAATACTGTGTATTATCAATCTTGACTTTCAACTCGGAATGCTGGCCCTGGAAGTTCTGAGTGTACCTCAGTCCAGCCATGCACTTGGGGCTTTTTATGAGTTACATTACAACAGTTGAAAGTATTTCATGTTTTTAAAATAAGCAAGTTTTAAAAATTACATGTGATCATACTTCTTAGCTCTTACTCTACTGGCTCTCATTTTGCTGCCAAATCTCTCCTTAATGGGTTGTTATTTGGAGAGCTATTGGTGATAATGCACTGGGGGGCTGGAGGTGGGGTGGGAAAGGTGAAAAGGATAGACTGGGGATGGTCTCATCACCTTCCGCCTTGAAGTTAATAATTCCAGGGAAAAGAGGAAAAAAAGAGATGTTACCTTGATTTTTGACCATTAAAGGGAGATTTAAGAATTTAGCATAATATTGAAGATATTGATAACCTTAAAATGTAATGTGCTACCCACTTCATGTTCTGTTCTTTTGATTGAGTAGTATTTTCTGATCCAGAAGTAAATACTGCACATTTTACATATTTCCTTACCTTGGTGTTGAATGACTTACAGAGCAGAAAGGACAATGAAGCTAAATAAGAGAGTACGATTCAACTCTGCTGTTTCCATTTATCAGATCCCATAAGAATAAGAGCATTGAAACACATTTCTTATTACGAGATTTTGTTGCCCTCAAGGACATGACTTCCTGATGCCCGGATCCTAAATCGGAGTTTTATGAATCTTGATTACCTTGTGGAAAATAAAACGTATCACAGAATTCAGTCTCACATCTATTTGTGCGGGGGAGTTAAATTTATTTCCTGACAACATCAGCAAGTCTGATTTTAGAGAATGCAGCTCATTAGAATAAGTTAACCATATTAGAATATATGCAGCTCCACTCCCCCCTGCCAGCTGCTCTGGGTGCTACAATGCATCCTGAGAAGCCGTAGAGGAAACAGACCCACATCCACCTTCATTCACTGATTTTGTTCAGATCAGGTAATTGTTTCAAACAAATTGACAAACAAAGACATCTCTGACAGCCAAGGTTTAGTCATTTCCCATATCAGGTCCTGGGCAAAGGGAAGTCTTATGAGAGACTGGAGTACCACACAGAACCCCCAAATTCAAGTCATAGGATGCAGATGGAGAGTTGGTAAGTAGAAAGACACTCATCGGTACAGCATCCAGTTTCTGACTGAAGTATTTGGACTCTCTTCTTCTCCTAGCTTGAAACTACAAAAAGATTTTGCTAATGTTCTTATGTTCAAAATGTATTTAATTTTTTACTTTGTTCTAATCATTCCTTCCACATACACAATCTATCCCATTCTTCATTCACGATGTTGCCAATGCTTTTCAGATCATTATTATTTCAGATCATCATTATTGCTCGATATCCAAATTAATCCCTGCTCTTAAATTCTCAGAGAACGTGGCTCCCCTCTCCAACACACATGCATATGCACACACTCATTCTCATACACGGGAAATCTGTCCTTTCCAATCTCAGTAGATTAATCTTGCTAAAGTATCTTTTTTATAAGATTTCACAAACTATAGTCATTAGAAATGTGTATAATATTTACATAGAAATATTCATTAGTATTAGTGTATTATTCCACTTCTTGAAAACCTTAAGTGTCTCTTCATTTAGAGTGAAAGACAAGCACCTTAACCTGGCCCTACGTATCTTTACTACCTGCTGGAATTCAGACTCTTAACCAGATCACAGAGGGCATCATGGGCATCCATGGGACTTTACACATAAAGTGCTCAGCACCGTGTGTGACACATTGAAAGAACTCAAAAAAGATGGTTCTAATCATTATCACTATTTTATTATTTCAATATAAGGTGGCCTTAGGATAATCAGGCTTGTTAACTCCAGTTTCTTAAATCATTTGAAGTATTCTTGTGAATTGCCATTTCCACGCATTTAATTATATTTCTCTCCCCTTCACCTATATATTTTACTTTTTTTTTTTTTTGAGACTCGGTTAGGAAGGGCACATGGGGTAGTAGATAGGAACAAAGGTGTCTGCCATCTGACTACTTGATTTTGAATCCTGACTTCACTGTTTCCTAGTTTTATGTAAGTTGTTAACCTCCCTATACCTCAGTCTCCCTATAGGTAAAATAGGATAATCAAGACACTCATTTCCTGGACATGTGAGATTTCAATGAGACAATGCATATCGAATATTTATTACAGAGCTCAGCATGCAGTAGACACTCAAATGATATTTTCTGAATGATTGAGTTCAAGTTCTATGTCCTCTGAAAACATTTTCTCAAACAGCCAAGCCTCTGATGATTCAATCTTTGTTCTGAAAACAGTCTGTGCCACTCACTCGTGGCATAGAATCTTTGCCTTGTTACAGCATTGTCATTGTCTTGAATCATGTAACTTTTATTTCAATATTAACTTTTGCACTCCAAAATGGTTGTCAACTTTTAGAAGAGACAGGGAATTATACTCTGCCTCCCCCATTTAGAATGTCCACCATGAGGATTTTTCTTCATTATTCACTTACTCACTTATCGTTCATTCAACAAACATGTACTGTCATGTTGACTTGATTAAGACCACATGTATTACAGAAACTTTGATCTCATGGGATTGAGAATTTTGTAGGAGAAAACAAATACAACATTAGAAGAGTACAAGCCATTAAATTAATTAAAATTATAGCCAACAAATATTGTTTGTTTTACATCACTGACAGAATAAATATGTACTCACATATACATTGTATACTCATGCAGCGAGGATAGAACTAGGAAGAGGAGTAAGCTCATATCAAGTCATAGCTAAGAATCGACTACTCAATGTTTTTGAAATTTAGGATTTTTACTTCTTACCATGTGTGATGGTTAATATTAGGTGTCAACTTGATTGGATTGAAGGATGCCTAGATGGCTGGTAAAGTATTATTTCTGGGTGTGTCTGTGAGGGTGTTGTCAGAGAAGACTGACATATGAGCTGATAGACTGGGAGAGAGAGACCCACCCTCAGTGTGGGTGGGCACCATCCAATACACTGCCAGTGCAGCTAGAACACAGCAAGTGGAAGGAAATGGGATAAGCTTGCTTGCTGGGGTACTGGCTTCTTTCTTTTTCTCCTGTGCTGGATGCTTCCTCCCGCTCCTCCTGCCCTTGCATATCAGACTTCAGGTTCTTCAGCCTTTAGACTCTTGGACTTACACCAGTGGCTTGATGGGCGTTCTTGGGCCACAGGCTGAAGACTGCACTGTCACCTTCCCTAGTTTTGAGGCTTTGGGACTCAGACCGAGCCACTACTGGCTTTTCTCTTTCCCAGCTTGCATATGGCTTATAATGGGACTCCACCTTTTGTTAGGGTGAGCTAATTCTCCCTAATAAACTCCCTTTCATATATACATATATCCTATTAGTTCTGTGTCTGTGGGAAACCCTGACTAATTCACCATGTCATCTTTAAGTGATATAAAGTATTGGGGGCAATATTCATTGCTCAGTTTCCCTAGATTTAATAACTATTCCCATGAAGAATTCTTGCTTTTTTACAAAGTGTGGGCATGATTCAGAGAGCCTTATATCATCCACTGGCTAGTGTTCTCTATTAATTCCTATCAAAATAATTTTATGTCTTCAGCACATGATTGGGTACCCAGACTGTTGCTGAGTTGCTGAAAAGGAAACAGGACATTTAGGATGGAACAGTGTGTCAGCAACAGCTGCTCAAACTTAATATGTGGAATCTGTTAGCTAGGCAAACAGTCAAAAGTGGCGTTTATCAAAAGCATTTATCAGGGGGGAAAGAAAACACACAGGAGAGAATAGTGTTCTATTGATCTGCAAGAAGTTTATTTTTCCATTCAGCAACGTTAAACTAATCAATTTCTTAAATAAAGCAAAAATACTAGTATTGATAATCCCAATGATGGCTTAAGTTTTCTAGGACAACAGAGGTATCATATTGATGTTGTAATAACGCAAATGCCAGGCTTGATTGTGTTTGACATGTTCACTGGTGGGTTTTGATTGCTAGAATTAATTTCTCACTGCGAAAGAGATGTTTTCAAGATATTGAGTTTAGGGCTGGTGAATTGGAAGGATAACAAAAAGGACTTTTTTATTTCATCCTCCCTTGGTTGCCATAGGTGTTTAGTAATCCCAGGAAGTCGAGAAAGAAAAATGGTATTGTAAAAGTAATAGAGTTAAAAAATCAAAACTGGCTGCTTTAGTCTAAGTTATATAATTATTCCAAAGATTTAGCAAACTGAATTTTAATGTCCATAATTAATGTATTTATAATACTTACAATATTTATTTAAAATATTACATAAATGTGTATTTTTGAAAATCTTTTTAAACCAGATTTTCATGCCATAGATTACTATGTAGTGAGCTATCCACTACTCATTCCATTTCTGTTCATGTTACCTAGGCCCACCCCACTGTGTGCCCCACCAAATTTTAGAATACAGTTGTAGATAAGATAAGGAGGAGGCAGTTAATATAAGCACCTCTTATTTAACCCCCAGGTAGAAATGTCAGCTGTCATCAAATATTTCTAACTCTGGGTGACTCACAGCACATTTTGGGGGGGTCTGTTCTAATTGTCCAATTCAGGAATATTTTTTAAAAGGCATAAATTTGATCTCACTGTGCATCCTTTTTCTTTAATTTTCATTTCTAATATTCAGAGTGAAGATGGTATTAAAAATATTCTTGGTTGGGTGTGCTGGCTCACACCTGTAATCCCAGCACTTTGGGTGGCCAAGGCAGGCAAGTTGATTGAGCCCAGATGCTGGGAAGTTGAGGACACGTCACTGCACTCCAGCTTGGGCAACAGAGCAAGACCCTGTCTCAAAAAAATATATATTTATTCGTATTATTTGCATATTACTGATTGTATGAAAGAAACTCTACAAGCTCAAGAGGAGTGTGATAGAATATAAGCTCTAATCATTTTGTTATTGAAAAAGAGTCAGTATACCAATACATACCAATTCAAACTCTCATAAACTTGTTAAAAAATAAAATGAAAAAAGACAACATATTTTTTCAAATCAGTTATAAATCATCAGTGAAATAAAAATATTTTAAATATTGAAAAATTAACAAAACTATTTTTCTCAAGTATGAACAGTAATCTAAGAGATTGCAAAAGCAAAGACAAAAACTACTTAGCTTGTACAAATCATTAGTGAACAAGCCCACATAAACACAAGTGCATATTTAAATGCTGTTTTAAAAATGCATTTTAGGGGGAAAATCCTCTATAATAGGTGTTATAGAAAGGTCAACAGCATAAAACAGTGATACTAGCTAAAATGAGAATGCCCTTGGGGAATTGTGGAAACCCACAGAAAAGTATCTGCCAGCATCTTTTGCAAGATGGTGTTATGAGAAAAGGGATGAAACAAATCTTACACGTAGCGTGTAGTCTGTGAAATACATTTAACACCTTGCTCGGTGAAATTTTACTTGCAAAAGCAATTTATTTCAGAGGAAACGTATTTTTTTCTTTAATAGCTTGTCAAATAGCTGTAAAATTAGTCAATTAAATGTTGTTTAATGATAAAGGAAACATGTGTGGGTGGTTTACCTGTCAGAAGCACAGTGTTTGAATATTATTGGGGAAAGGGCAGGAAAGGCAGAGGTGAAAATGGAGACAGGCAAGGTGGTTAAGAGACTGAAGACACAGAGAAGCAGAGACTTTTAATGTATGCCGTGAGGTAAACTGGAGAAAGATGTGATGAAAATACAGTTTTAGGAAGATTTCTAATATGGTTTAGCTGTGTCCCCACCCAACTCTCACCTTGAATTGTAATAATCCCCACATGTCAAGGAAAGAACCAGGTGGAGATAATTGAATCATGGAGGTAGTTTCCCCCAAACTGTTCTCTTGGTAGTCAGTAAGTCTTGTGAGATCTGATGGTTTTATAAATGGGAGATCCCTTGCACAAGTTCTCTTGCCTGTTGCCATGTAAGACGTGACTTTGCTCCTCATTTGCCTTCTGCCATGATTATGAGGCCTCCTAACCCATGTGAAACTGTGAGTCAATTAAACCTCTTTCCTTTATAAACGACTCAGTTTTGGATATGTCTTTATTAGCAGCATGAGAACGAACTAATACAATTTCCATAAGAAGCAAGAGGTAAAATTTCTACAATACCCCTTTAAAGAAAACTTTCAGTATAGAGTCATAATATTCTTCAAGAATTCTTGAGGAGATATATCTTAGTGAATATGTTGAAGAGCAAAGAGAAGGTTCATTATTGCTTAGAATTATTTGACTTGTATTTTGAATATGATAGTCTGGCAGGTTTGAACTTCAACATAGAGGTCAACTGATCCTGCATCAAATAATGTCTTCCAAGGATTCTAAGAAAACTATCATAAGACAGTGAGACATTGGTGCCAAACTGAGATCAGAGGCATATGTAGAATGACGTGTAGAATGATGCTTTGTTTGAGATTGTTACTTTATCCAGTTGAATAAGTGTTAACAGAAATGACCAAACAAAAGTTTCCTAGTGAAATTACTCACCAATTTAGAGCTTCAATAAACACTCAGTTTCTTAAAAGCAGGGCTCCTTCTAAATTGTAGAGAATAAAATTATTATCTCTGAGAATACTGGTGTAACCAAATGATGGAAGCATTCTCTAATAGTCAATGTTGAAGAATCTGACTAGACCACTGTCATTCCATTTCCTCTTTCTGGACACATGGAAAGACTGACTGCATTTTCCAGTCTCCTTCTCAATTAAGTTTAGGGACCTGTGACTAGTTTTTATTAAATGGAATGTGAGGAGAAGTGGTATTTGTCACATCTGGGCCAAAGTTAACATGAGAAGAGGGGAAAGCATTGATGGCTGTTGCTATTTTTATTTTGCTTTATTTTACTTTGAGAAAGACTCGGTAAATATATAATGGGCTTGATTCAAAGAGAGCAAGAATGTCTTGAAATGTCAAAGGCTTGCATTTGTCATTCAAAGATATAACTTTGCCATTCATTCTATCAGACAATTCTTCATAACTCTTCAGTATCTGTAAAGATTAAGCTTAAGGAATGTATCAGAATTAGCGGATATTTTTAAACTGGGTAGATAGCTAGCATAATGGTTCACTCATCTGAATCATTAAAGCAATATACATAACTAATCAGATAGTAACCCAAGTTCCCCTTCTCTACAGTGAGGTTGGTTTGGTTCTCATTACCATAGATCCATAATTTACTTGCCCCTGTGTTCTGAAGGTTGTTCAGATTGGGTTCAAATCTGAAGGATAAGTGATGCTCATGAGCTCTATCCAGAGAGACTATATAGCCATCATTTTTATAGGACATTGTAAACTTGTACACTCTGCACAGCTGCGGCTATTAACAATGAAATACACATAACAGCTATATTTTATCATATAAATACACTGGATCACTCCTGGAGCTTTCTTCTTCCACACTGTGCATTTAACTCTATGGCAATTCAAACTTATCTTTGCCTCACTCCATGGCACTGAATGTTGCCTCAGGATAAGATCCTGGATGAAAATGAATTAACCTTCAAAGTATGGAAGAAAACTTTACATAAAATGTAAATTCTTTATCATTAAAAAGTTGATTTAAAGTATTCTAGCGGTATTTTTAAAAATTAAAATTCATAATGCATATTAAAATAATGAAGATTTTTATAGCCCTGGTGACTTAGGTTGTTAGATGTGCCAAAGGAATTTTTTTCTCTACTTTTTTTTTATCTGTCATTAATTGGTGCTGTTTTTACACAGAACTGTCTTCCTCTGGAGTCACCACCTGCAGTAACTTATTATAGATTCTTCAGTTCCATTATTCATATTTGTGCTTCTGTAACTAGATACCACCCTACTGTCATACACTTTATGTGACACATGGTGCTTAGAACTTGCTACCATTAAATGCCGAAAAATAAAATAGAAATCCCATTCATTTAATGTTACTATAATTTGACAAGTCTCCAACATGGGCTGGAGAACTGTAACTTCTCAAATCCTGTAGCTGGCAGTTTAGAAACCCAATAGTCAATAAATTGTGAAAATAGAAAAATACCTGAAGCATATGAGATATACAGAAATTAAGCCTTTAAATATAAAACTGGTAACAGCAAAGACTTCGTATTAGTCCATTTACACACTGCTATAAAGAAATACCCGAGACTGGGTAATTTATAAAGGAAAGAGGTTCTTCTTTCATACAACGGATTATAAACAATACATTGAAACCCTGAAGTAACTCTGGTACTTGCAAACAGAGTTTCCTAGAGGATGTTGTTTGAGTTATCCATTCAGGGATTTAACCATTAACATTTCAGATTCACCTTGTTGTAGAATGGTGCCATATAATTAAGTATCCAAACATAAACCTTAAAAACGATGCTTGTAAAGATGTCCCATGGACATACACACTAACGAAATCACACAGGGATGCCCTCCCCTGGTAACAGGTAAAAGCGACAGCATTGAAGAATTTATAATATCTAATACTTACTTAATTGTGGAGTCAAAATGACTACAAAATTCTCATGAGTACACTTAGTTTTATTACATATTAGCTGATTTCTTCCCAGAAATGTTGCAAATCATGCCTTCCAAGGACTGATACCCAGATACTTGACTAACCAAAGCAAGGTAAATGATTTAGAACCTAGTCCCTCTAATCACTGTAAAAAGATAAACTTTTAAAAATGTATTTGATTTTTACTAACCTGTTGCCTTGATGAGTTGCACTATAGCACTATAGCATAGGGGCTTGATTTTAAATGATATAAAACCAATTCAAACTTGTTTAAGCAAATAAAGAATTTATTGGGTTTACATATGGGAAGCCCATGGGTAGACGAAGCTGGCTTTACACAAGCAATGTTAAATGCCTCAAGCAATGTCATTTGGACTGTTTCTTTCTCTCTTGGCTCATTCCCTTTGTCAAGGGATTTCAATTTTAGGCAGGTTTCCCATGTGCCATGAAAGATGAGCAAATCAGCTACATGATTTGAGATCATATAGTTTGACACCTGAAAAAAAGGGGAGCCCTCTTTCTTCACATTCCATACATAACAGGAAAGCTTTTTACTGACTCTCCTTATTTTGTGGAGCTATCACAGGCCCAACATCTGTGACCATGGCAATTTTGGTTGGGATGACACTCTAGTCCTATAGCCTGTGGCCAGGTGAGTCAGGCACCATGAGTGATAGCTTTACCATGACAAAATGGAGTAGATACTGGCATCTGCTTTCCTCTCACATAAGAGAAATGCTGGTATTTTTATTACCAGATAGCCACTTCTGATGTTTTCTACATGCTGAAATGACTCCATGATGGTAAAGAATGTGTACAGTAAAGCCCGGCCATAAAATGCCTCTCCATACCCATTGTAGGGCATCCCTATATAGGGATGAAACATACACATTTTATTTTTACCTCAGGGATTATGTGATAGAGCAAGTGTGTATGCTCTCAATAGGCAGATTAAGCCAAAAATAAATATTCTCTTGATTAGAATTGAATAAAACCTTGTAAGAAGTTTCTCAGTAGTGCATTCTCACATAAAAATAAGCCAGTAACAAGAAGAGTAATATTATTTTATCATAGTTTGCATAATTACTTTCCATACATATTGTAGCTTAGCTTGTAGTTACCATCCCCATAGTGTCATTTTAAATTAATAGGCTTGCATATATTTTACCATAGTACCTATTATATGCTAGCTAAGAAAATAACAGTTGTAATTATACCTAAATATAGTTGCTCAAAGATTTTTAAGATTGATTATTTGTCATCCATATTATTTCTTTTAAATGCTTCAAAGAACAGTGTCAGTAGACTTTCATATATCTATATTATTTTGGCTTAGAAAACAGATAAAAACAATAGATATTGTACACTACACTCGGAGACTTTTTTTTTTTTTTTGAGACAGAGTTGCACTCTTGTCATCCAGGCTGGAGTGCAATGGGACAATCTCGGCTCACTGCAACCTCCGCCTCCCTGGTTCAAGTGATTCTCCTGCCTCGGCCTCCTGAGTAGCTGGGACTACAGGCGCCCGCCACCATGCCCAGCTAATTTTTGTATTTTTAGTAGAGATGGGGTTTCGCCATGTTGGCCAGGCTTGTCTCAAACCCCTGACTAGAGGTGATCCACCCACTTTTCCTCCCAAAGTACTGGGATTACAGGTGTGAGCCACCATGCCTGGCATACTTGAAAACGTTTCAGGCTATTCTGAGTCTTTCAAAATTAGGAGTTAGAATTTTGGATTAAGTCACCCAAACATATTATTTTATCAGAGTTTCCAGCACAACTCATCCCATTTGTTAGGAGCATTTATTAAATAAATGCCAAATATTGCATATGCCACACAATGTATGCAATTATAAGAGAAATAGAAGATTCACCATGTTATAATCAAAGAGGAGAAACAGAACACACATAAAATACACACAGGACAGGCCGGGCGTGGTGGCTCATGCCTGTAATCCCAGCACACTGGGAGGCCGAGGTGGGAGGATCACCTGAGGTCAGGAGTTCGAGACCAGCCTGGCCAACATGGTGAAACCCCGTCTCTTCTAAGAATACAAAAATTAGCCGGGCTTGGTGGCAGGTGCCAGTAATCCCAGCTACTCGGGAGGCTGAGGCAGGAGAATCACTTGAACCAGGGAGGTGGAGGCTGCAATGAGCTGAGATCATGCCATTGCACTCCAGCCTGGGGGACAAGAGCAAGACTTCGTCTCAAAAAAAAAAAAAACAAAAACACACAGGACAATCTCATATATCCAGATGAATTGGCATTGGGCTATGTATGATGTGAAAACTTCAGCTAGAAAGAAAACTGAACCTCAATGCAAGGGACACCATGTTCTCTTGCATCACACCTTACTCCCCTCCTGGGTCCTAATCCTCTCTGGGTAAGCTATAGCTGTGCAAGCAGAAAGGAAGAACTGCGGCATTAACCATTTGTAACTTTGCATGTATATGACTCTTTGTCCACCCTGTACTGACCCCCTCACTAATTCATTTTTCCATTCATGTTTATGCACTTGCTTCATATATGGGTCAAGGAACTCATGCATCTCTGGTAGCACAGAACCCACTGCAAGGGGAAGTCTGCTGTTCTCCAGCAGAGAAATTTAGATGACAGAATTTTCTCCTTGAGAAACTAACATCCAGGTGAAAGTGACAGGAATGTGAATATAGTTACGATTATCTTCAAGAAACTAAAAAAACAATAATTAATGAAAAAAGGCAAAATGGCATAGGATTTATGGAGTAATAAATCATATTCAGTATTTCCTCCATTAAATGTAGCATTCTAAGTACCGCAAAGCTAGCTGGAAATTTTTCATAGAGATGAGCCTAGGAAGAGACGATGAGTTCATTGATGAGGGAATATGGGTTTTTCATAAAGAAAACTTTATGTCGATCAGTCAAGACTTAGGTGTATGCTTACTGATCCATTGGTCCATGCATGTTTGCACACTTGCCTCACATGTGATCATGTGTTACAGTGGAACAGTTGCTTTTTATTTATTTTTTATTTTTTGAGACGGAGTCTTGCTCAGTCGCTCAGGCTGGAGTGCAGTGATGTGATCTCAGCTCACTGCAAGCCCCGCCTCCCGGGTTCATGCCATTCTCCTGCCTCAGCCTCCCGAGTAGCTGGGACTACAGGCGCCCGCCACTACACCTACATAATTTTTTGTTGTACTTTTTAGTAGAGACGGGGTTTCACCGTGTTAGCCAAGATGGTCTCGATCTCCTGACCTCGTGATCCATCCGCCTCGGCCTCCCAAAGTGCTGGCATTACAGGCGTGAGCCACCGCGCCCAGCCAGCTTTCTTTTCCTGCCTAACAAATCATCCTAGAACACAGTGCCATAAGACAACAGGGATTTGTTCTCAAGGGTCCAAGATGACAAAAACAGAAGCTTCAAGACCTCTTAAGGCATAACCTTGGAAGTCCCTCAAAATCACTTCTGTGTCATTCTATCGTTCAAAGCATGTCACAGGCTCTGTTCAGTTTGGAAGGGAAGGAGCATAGATTTTTCTTCTTGATAAGAGGAAGGGAAAATTTTAATTTGAAAAAGGCATGTGGATTGGAAAAAAATATTTTAGTGCTCTTTGCAAACAATGTACCACACTAGGAGCCCTAGTTAAGGCAAAGCTTTTCTAAATTACTGAGTACATCACTGTTATAATAGAATACTTGACCTTTTAAGGTGATAAAGCCTGTAAAACATGTGATCTGCTCATATTCCACAGTTTAAGTAAATCTCAATTATTCTGAAGATGCCTTACCTTTGGTGTCATTCTTAAAATTAGATTTAAGACCTTTTGTGAAAAAATATCCTCCAAAATGGGAACAACTAGTCAAGTTCTATTTCACTAACACTCAGGATGCATATAGTTCAATACTACAGCCACTGCTGGGCACTGAACCCCATCTTTTTCCTGCAGGCTGTCAGTTAATGTAGAGGCTGATAACTCACTATCAGGACTCAACTGCACAAAGAAATGCTTGAATTTCAGAAGGAACTATAGATGATCCAAAAAGCTTCAGAAAAATCAAGCTATGATGGTAGAATTCATCATGGTAAGGTAGTATTAATGGTGGTAATGCCCAAGAGTTTCTCAAATACTTTCAGCTCACTTTATCAGTAAGAAATGGACCCAGACGCCAGATGCAGTGGCTCATGCCTGTAATCCCCGTACTTTCGGAGGCCAAGGCAGGAGGATCACCTGAGGTCAGGAGTTTGAGACCAGCCTGGCCAACATGTTGAAACCCTGTCTCTACTAAAACTACAAAAATTAGCCAGGCGTGGTGGTGGGCGCCTGTAATCCCAGCTACTTGGGAGGCTGAGGCAGGGAACTGCTTGAACCCAGGAGGCTGAGGTTACAGTGAGCCAAGATCGTGCCACTGCACTCCAGCCTGGGCAACAGAGTGAGACTCCATCTCAAAAAAAAAAAAAAAAAAGAGAGAGAGAGAAAAGAAAAGAAATGGACCCAGAAAACCTATCTTGTTTAAGATCAGGATTAGAACAA
Source organism: Homo sapiens (assembly GCF_000001405.40). NCBI lineage: Eukaryota > Metazoa > Chordata > Mammalia > Primates > Hominidae > Homo > Homo sapiens. The sequence continues at coordinate 164,158,859 of NC_000005.10, read as the reverse complement.
TGTCAGCCTGTATACCACTACACAATAGAGACCAGGACTAGAGCAACTACAATCGCTATTCCCAACTATCACAACTCTCATTATGTAATTTTATTTATATATATAAAAATATGGCACCAGGTCTCTTACTATGGCCTGTGGACCTCAGAAACCATACGGCTTTTGTGAATAGACATGTGTATATATGTGTTTGTACTTGTATACATGTGTATATGTATACATGTATACATAAATATATATACACACACAGAAACATGCATCTGTTTATTTTTCATGCAAATGACACATTATCTCTTGAGTAATGTCATCAAGGGTAGTACTGCTGGCCTGGCACAGTGGCTCATGGCTTGTTGTCCCAGAACTTTGGGAGGCTGAGGCAAGAAGATTGCTTGAGCCCAGGAGTTTGATCCCAGCCTAGGCAACATAGGGAGACCCCTGTCTCTACAAATAATAAAAAAATTAGCCAAGTACAGTGGCATGCACTTGTGGTCCCAGCTACTTCGGAGGCTGAGGCAGGAGGATCACCTGAGCCTGGGAGGTCAAGACAGCACTGAGCCATGATCATGCTGCTGTACTCCAGTCCGGACAACAGAATGAAACTCTGTCTCCAAAAAATACAGTAAAATAAAAAGTATTATTGCTCTTTGTGTTAGTTTAAGGAATGTTTTCAGTCTATGGAATAGTAACGTGCTCATTCAGAAAGTAGCCTACAAATCCTCTTTTTTTTAATTTGAAGTGATTTTGATGCAAAGAGAGTTAAGCTATCACCTCAAACTTATAAAAAAAATTAACCAAGTATTTCTCCCAAATGAACACCCTTTCCCAGACTTCAGAATCCTTTTTACTTTTGCTAAAGAATGAATGTTTATGTCCCCACTAAATTCATGTGTTGAAAACCTAATCCCTGCTGTGATGGGGCTTTGGGGAGGTAATTTGGCCATAAGAATGGTGGCTCCATAATGGGATTAGTGACCTTCTCAGAAGAAATAGGAAAGAGCTTGACTGTGTGAGTGCTCTCTTCCTCCCTCTCTGTACCACGATGTGAGGAAACTTCAGTAATTCTCACAATAATACTCTAAGTATCATTGCCCTCACTGGAAAAAAATCTCAGAAGCATACAATGACCTAATCAATATTAAAGGGCTATTGAGTTATGAAACTGGGGCTGGACTATAAATCATTCAACAGTACAGTTCTTCCTTTAAAACACTGCCCATATGTGCTTTTTTTTTCCAACATACTGCTACAATAGGTCTATGTCTGCTTCACCTCATTCTCTAATAATATTCAGTGTGTATTGAGTATCTTTTATGTACATGGCACTCTCCTGGCTATGAGAGATGTAAGACTAAATTTAATAGGATCTATGACTTTAAGGAGTCTGGGGTCTAGTGATGACTGCACCAGACTTGATTGTTTATTTTGTCCCAGGTTCTTCTGCTTCTAAGCCGATATACTTTGGATGTTTGTCTCTTCCAAATCTCATGTTGAAATGTAATTCCCAGTGTTGAATTTGGGACCTGGTGAGAGGTGTTTGGGTCATAAGGGGGGATCCTTTATGAACGACTTGGTGATAGCCTCACGATAGTGAGTTCTTTTGAGATCTGGTCGTTTCAAAGTGTGTGGCATTTCCTCCCTCTCTCTCTTCTCTTTCTCCTGCTGCCACCATGTGGCACACCTGCCCTTGCTTCACCTTCTGCCATGATTGTAAGCTTCCTGAGGCCTCACCAGAAGCAGATGCCAGCACCATGTTTCCTATAAAATCTGCAGAACCGTGAGCCAATTAAGCCTCTTTTCTTTATAAATTACCCAGCCTCAAGTATTTAGAGCAATGCAAAAACTGACTAACACATAAGCCATCCTCTACGTCGTTGGCAGATGAAGTCTCCCTCTCCATAAAATAGGTAGCCAGTATTTTTTAAGTGCTCACTATGTCCTAGTTTCTAAGTACCTTCAGTACATTCACTGATTTAATCTTCTCTACAACCCTAGAATATAAGAATCATTTTTATTTTTATTTTAAGATGCCTTTAGGCAAACACACACACACACACATGCGCACGCACACACGCGTGTAAACACATAGCAAGAGGAGTATGTTTGTTTTAAACCCAGGAAGTCTGATTCCAGAGTGTGAACTTGACCACTCCTCTCAAATGCCTCTTAGAAACTGAAACACACAGAATATTATGTCTCTCCCTTGATTAATAATCAGAATGGCTCCCTGTTCTCACAATGTTAAGGGTCTGCCCACTTTTTTCAGCTCTTTTTTATCATGTCCCTTGTCTTCCTTGGTAACCTTCTTTTCCTAGTTTCCTGCCTGACCACTTGACTCCAGACAGTTTTCTCCCTTTCCAAAGCTGTCTCTCTCTTTTGATCATGCTTAAAACATGTCCTTCTTACCCACATTCCTACTCAGCCTTTTAAAAATCCTGCCGATCTTTGAAATCTTACCTTCAGGAAGTTGTTCCTATCTGTATCTCTAAATCACAAGGACTCGCTTTTATATAGACTGAGATTATTCCAGAAGATTGAACAATGTATGGTTCACTCTCGTTTATTTCTGTTTTTCATATTTGCTTAACTTGTTTGTCCAAACAAAATCTTGGCTTGCATAAACATAAATCCCTTAAACTAGCATAATATTAGCTAAGAAACATTCATTTACAATTTACTAACAGATTAACTTCAAAGTTGCCTGAATTATGCCTTCAGGAAAAGCACAAATGCCTCTACAAATATTTAAATTAAAAAAATATTAAAAAACACAAAGTATTTTTTTTTACCTTGACAAAAAGAAATTGCATTTAAGAGAGAATTTTTATGATTAGAAGAAGCAAAATCATTTAGCCAGATAATTTAGGCACTAATATTTTGTTGAGTACAAAAAAAAGAGAAACTTTAAAGCCACCACATTTCTAATTGGTTGTCTACATTGATTAAGAGGGAAAGGTAATTTAGCTTTCACTTCTGTGAAATTCATGTGTTTTTCACTGAAATTACTCAGTTGAACTCAATAGAGATTTATAACCTATTTCCCATACCTAGCAAAACATGGCAAATTTGCAACCTAAAAACACTGACATGTTTGACCTCTGACAGAGATATGTGAAAAGTCTCTCATTTCATGGACAGTCTTTCCTGCAACCTATTTTTTTAAAATGCTTTAAGATTTCTGCAGCATAGTGTTGAAATCTAAATTTTCTCTTTAGTGTCAAGGTTTAAATCTTAATTTGTTTAAGTCTTTCTCAGAAGCATGACACATTCAGGTACTTGTATTGGTATGATCTTCTCATAATTTCACCTTATTGCAATTCTAATGATTTCTCATTTTAAATTTAAAACGTCCAATTAGTTTATGGTGCTGAGGGATAATTCTAGAAAACCGGCACAGACAGCAAACTTGCCATTTTCAAATGGAATGATTAAGAACCAAACAAAGGGCTTTTTCCAGCCAGCTCAACTGAAACCAATGAATAATATTAAATGCATAAAGGAAAAATGAGGGCACAGAATCTCACTAACTTGAGGGCTTCGTAATGAAGAATACACTCTTTCTTCTTGAAGTTACAGCTCTGATTCAGTTTGGGAGTTGTCACCTTTTTAGACTGGCAGGGTGATTCTAGGAGAGTAAATTAGTGAAGGTTCTCCATTTCTCGGTGGTCAACTATTATCAAACACTTAATACAGGAGGCCCTATTTCCAATGACTATGAACTAATTATCTATAAAAGGCCAGTCTTGATGGTGTTTTTGGTAATAGACGATTGCCAAAAGTTTAATACTCTCTGGAACTTTGAGATCTTCAAATACAGATGCCATGGTTTGGCTATTTTGTTGTTAATGGGATTATATCAGCAAAGATAAAAAATTGAAATATTTCTATTAGACCATTAAACTAGATTTTAATTTTATAGACTATCAATGTTTATAGATTTTTCTATTATAGTCAAGCTATGTTAGCCATTTTTACTTATATCTTATTTAAACCTCTCAAAAAAGGCATGAAATGAGTATTTTTATCTCTGTTTTACTTTTTACTGAGGTAATAGGTGTTTATGACTTGGCAAAGTCAGTCAACAACAACCAAATACTAGTAAATGGAAGATGTGACATGACTCTGTGATCTGTCTTCAAAACCTATGTGCTTTTTATTACATTAGAGTTGCATATTTTCCAAATAATCAAATGTGCTGAGGTCAGATTTTGGTAAGGTTTATCTGCAATCGAAAATTCTGAAGACAAATTGCAAACTTCTTCAACTGTAAAACTCATCTCATTAGAATCTTCTTCAGCCAAAGCAATTTGTCTTGTTCAGGGATTAGGGACTTTTCTTAAACATGTCTTTAAGGTTGAACTTGAAAAGCAAAGTTTCAAGATGTAAAGTCTGACCACTTCTTGGCAGCTAAAATATTACATGGGTAGTTTTTTCATCTCTTTCAAAGAGGAAGTGTTCTTTTCATTGAAAGCTGAGCTAGAAGATTTTGAGAAACTTTAAGTTGTATCTCAGATATAAACAAAATGCTTTCTGTAACCCAAATGATCATAACCAAGATTTTCATTCTGGAAATATTTCCTGTCAGCACAAGCAATTTTTTCAAAGCATATTTTTGGTTGTTGTAACAGCAACTTGTAAAATATTCTTGATGCATCTATATAAAATGGTACATAAAACTTTCACCCTACAAACATTTGATTGTGGAAGGAAAGGTAACTTCCTGCCAATATAAACTGACATGAAAAAAATGATCTTGTCCTCTATTTTACTGCCACTTCACCTCCACTACCCAGACCTAGACTACTCACGCAAAATCAAATAAAACATCCAAATGGGGCAGACATTGGTTCAACAGGGTTTTTGCATTGTGGTGATAAAATAACTGAGTCATTGAAATTCAGGGCTGTACTTCTGGGGGTAGGAGCCAAAGAATACTCATGTACACATTTCATCGAGTATTTACTGGACATTCATTATGTGCAAAACTTTACACCAGGGATCAGCAAACCTTTTCTGTAAAACACCAGAGATTAGTTTGGACTGTAAGCTATGTGACTGTTTCACAGCTACTCATCAGATGCTGTTGTAGCACACAGGCTTCCATAAACAATAGATAATGCTTGGAATGACTGAGTTAAAATGAAACTTTCCTTACACACACAGGAGCCAAATTTTGGCAGCAAGCTATAGTTTTGCCAACCCCTGCCATATACCTCTGAAGCACAGGAAGATTAATGAGTAACAAAAGTGTAATTAATGGCTCACAGTTCAGAGGGAGTGTTATTATTATAATACACTTGACGTAGGAGAAACATGAAATGATATAATACAATCATAACAAATGCTAACAGAAGATAATAGCAACCGTGCTGTTTCTTGAAAGATGATTAGGATTTTACCAATGGAGGTCTGGGGTAGAAGGGAACTCTACATAATAGTACTATCATCAGTAAAGGGACCAAGAAGTAAAGTGGAGATACAGTCTGGAGAGAGCAAGAAGTCAAGTGTAACTGGAGCAACAGGACCTTAGGGACTGTGTTAAAAGAGAGTAGAAAAGGCAGCGCAGGGCCTGTGGTCAGCCATTAAATAATATGTTGAAGGGCTTAGACTTGATGCTTTAGTTGCTGGAGCATTCTAAGTTCAGAAAGAATACATACAAAACTGCTGACAGCTGGCTCACCCCTCATCTAAAGAGTGAGGTTATGGGTGAGGATGTGGGGTACAAATTTTTGCGTTTTATTTTTTTCACTTCCATGTACTTGTTTTAATTAATCATTTTATTTTAGGTTAAAGGGTGCATGAGAAGGTTTGTTAGATAGGTAAAATTATGTCATGGAGGTTTGTTGTACAGATTATTTCATCACCCAGGAATTAAGCCCAGTACCCAATAGTTATCTTTTCTGCTCCTCTCCCTCCTCCCACCCTCCACCCTCAAGTAGATCCTAGTGTCTGTTGTTTCCTTCTTTGTGTTCATAAGTTCTCATCATTTAGCTCCAGCTTTTAAGTGAGAACATGTGGTATTTGATCTTCTGTACCTGTGTTAGTCTTCTAAGTGTAATAGCCACCAACTCCATCTAGGTTCCTGCAAAAGACATTATCTCATTCTTTTTTATGGCTGTATAGTATTCCATGGTGTATATGTACCACATTTTCTTTATCCAATCTGTCATTGATGGGCATTTAGGTTGATTCCATGTCTTTGCTATTCTGAATGGTGCTGCAATGAACATTCACGTGCATGTGTCTTTATGGTAGAATGATTTATATTTCTCTGAGTATATACCCAGTAATGGGATTGCTGAGTCAAATGGTAGTTTTGCTTTCAGCTTTTTGAGGCATCACCACACTGCTTTCCACAATGGTTGAACCAATTTACACTCCCACCAACAGTATAAAAGTGTTGCCTTTTCTCTACAACCTCACCAGTATCTGTTATGTTATGACTTTTTAATAACACTTCTATACGTTTTTAATCTGTCACAATACACATGCATTAGTTTTGAAACAAGGCAGAAAGTAATTTATCATTTTTTACCTCCATATCTCATATTTTTAAAAATTGTGCTTGAAAATATACAAATTAGTTTCTTCATACACAGAATGTTGGTTTATTATTTGTATGTTGCATGATTTCTGCTGTTACCAAACACAGAGGAATATGAAATATTTTGTACAAGTGGAGTTATTATTGGTAAGGAGGTAAAATGACAGTACACATGAACCATGCGGCACTTACCCCACCAGACTATACCCTTCATGAGATCAGGGTTGTGTCCATAACATACCAGGTGCTCCAAAAATATTTGTTGGATGAATAGCCATAAGGTTTTTTCCTCTAAGTATATTCAATAACCTTGCTGCAATCAAAGAGAGAGGCCACTAATATTTTCTAAGTAGCCCTAAAGTGGGTATCTGTTATTTTTGACAATCAGCACCCATTCATCCCACAGGTAGAGAAGTTCCCCAAACTTTCTTTGAGCAGCCAGCCTTCTCCACATTTGCAGCTGGTTGGGGCTGATACACTCCCAGCTCTAGAGTGGACACAGTTACTAGTCAGGAATGAAATGTGACCCAATCAGAGCTAAAGGTTTGTCAGTTTTTTAACAAAGTTGCGGTTAGAAATTACCACCAATAATTTTGAACTTGAAAGCATATGGGCTAGGGATGCTACCTCTATCCTGTCACCATTTATAATGTACCCATGACATTAAGACATATAAGAATCCTAGGGACAAAGAGGCCAGAAGCCATGTCTTAGTGACACCCAGGATACCCCCATTCAAGCTACTTCAGAAAGTGTCCTTACTCCTAAATTCATTTAGTTATATGAGACCCCAAATTACTATATGATAGCGATCATTTATAATTAATTTGCTAATAAATATTTTCTTTTCAGCAGCCAATTCCAGTTGGTTTTATTAGGCTTATAGTTTTCCCTTTGGTTCTTTATAGACTTTACTTTGTGAGAAAACATTTTGCCCACTTTTGGTTGCACACTTTGCCCCCAAATCAGTAACATCTTATGTCTTAGACTCTGGAATCATGATATACCTGTTAGTTTCCTGTTTATCAACCTCCAATTTACATCCTAAGACTCAGTTCAGCTCAAGCAGCATTCAGTGTTGTTTTTTTTTCAAAAGATAGTAAAAAGAAATAAAAATTATAATACCTTTTCTATTTATTGGCCTAATTTTTTCTTCTGTTTAATAGTAGAAAAATTGAGCTAATCATAATCCTATTAAAAATGAAACAAAACAAACAAGCATTGATGTGCATTTTTCTTTGCACTTGATAATTAGTAAATCATGGCTTCAGTCAGGAGAAGAGTTTATATTTTTTCAAAGTAGAAAATGGTATCTTGACTAAAATAACTTTTTTTTCATTACAAAAGACCTAATGGATTTTCATGTCTTTTTCTCCCACAATTGTATATATTTTTTCTGCTTTATTCTTTCCTGTGGCTTTTCTAAGTCAATTCCTACCATTTCAAACATACCACTCATTCCTATTTAAAATTGCCCATATTTTCAGGTGGTTAAAGATAGGTCAATGATGGTATTACCATAATTTGTTGCACAGGCTTGAAAAATCATTTGATCTGAGATATGGTGCAGCCATATAATTTCTGTGAACACCTCATGAAAAATAAAATATTTTTTTAGCCAACTACCATTTCTTCCAGAAACTTGAAATTATGTGTGTGTTGGTATGAGCTAGACATTTATGTAAGATGACTGAGTTTCCTCTTCTTGAATTATCCCCATAACTCATCACATATTTCTAGCATTTCTTACATAGGAATAAAAAGCAATAACAAAACCCTTGTAGGATTTTTGCGGCTTGCAAATTGGAAGCACACAGTAAATATTACTTCCCTTCTTATTTAAACACATATATTCAAGAATTGAAATAAGTTAATGATAATGTAGTGGCTACTTATGTTTCTTAAGTAGTTGGGGAATATAGGAAACTAAATGTATGCTTAGGATATCTGCATGTGAAAAATGATCACTGAGTAAGAATTAGAGATCCCTTTGACCAAAAATATTCTGTAAGGTGACCTAGTCAACTATATGCCATAATCTTTCTCAGTTATTCTTCTCGACAAAGGAAAATTTGATACAGATAAATTTTCTTTAGTTGAAGAAACACAGATTTCTTCAAAATCATAAATATAAGATAATCCAAAAGATAGTGAGATTAATCAATTTTATACTTAATATTATATGTTTTGAATGTCTACAAAATTATTTTTATAATATTAAGAAGAGGATAATAGAATTTCATAGGCATAAACTTTTCTCTATCACCTACAATATTTAATTTATTCCAAGATAGACCCTCTGAGACTCTGTAACAAAGCATGCAGACCTAACTGTGCCCCTTATAATGCTTAACTGCTTGGAAACACACTGAAACATTTTTAAGGGTTTTTTTTTTAATGTCAAATTTTATTGGGGCAAAAAGCAAAGCACTTATTTTCAGGAGATCATTAGTTGCCTAAATGAAAAAGTAAAACTGTATCTTTCCAAAATAGTCTGTGTTGAAGGGACAGTTTTTTCCCAGTGCAACTTCGTAGCCTGGCACTAAATTTTGTGCACAGTGAGCATGGCTTCTGTGCAATTTATGGCATGTGCATTACAGCAGATTTCAAATAAATTACGAACTGTATGTGTTACTGAGGCACTGTCAAACTAGGATTGATTTGGACAGTTTGTAGTTAATTAAGTCCATTTCCAGTTCTGTCTCTTCATCCAATTTCAAAGCATTCTATATTGAAAGCCTATTTTCAATTAGTAAGAAGGATGAAACAAAAAAATTAATTAGAAAAGTGATGATCTCCATTTAAGTCTTCATAGTGAGCAATTATGTATCTTAAAAGTTAAGAAATTGAAGAGTTGTACTTGTCTAATATATTATGTCTTTGATATGTATCTTATGTATATTAAAACTTTATGTAGGCATGGCATTACAGCGAAAAAATGTAATGATTGAAGTTATCTGTAGTTACTGTAAGTTTAAAAAGGCCATTTCACTTAGTATTTAATTATTGAGGATTAGACTTGATAATATTTTCTGAAGGATATAAGTATAGCACATATATTAGAAAATTTTGTGATAAGACACATTTGTTTAGTGAATCTCACAAGTTTGAGGCACACAGATAATTTTTAAAGCCCACTAGGTGATTCTGATATAATAAACCACCACTCTCCAACTAATCCCATCCTGTCTTTATCCAAGGTCCTGTGAGCCTGCCTGCCACAACCAATATAAGGCAGGTTTGAATAGCAAATACATATTGCAGAGGTATATACAGGTACCATAAATAAGCTTTGCCACTTACTAGGTGAGGTTTTTTGGCAGGGATTTTTTAATCTCTCTCTTCCTCAGTTAAGATGTTTCTAAATTGAGGATAATACTACAAAATCTACAGGGAAGAGTCAAGGATTAAGGAGAGACTGCTGAATATTTAGCTCAGAACCTGGCACAGAGATTGGTTATCATCCTCATCGTAATGATGATACTGACAGATACAAACTAGTAACCCAGGTTCTAAAACATTTACACCTATATTGTTATAACAGGATATTATTGTGCCTGGGCTCTGGAAAGTGAAAAGATTTGAGATTGTTGGGTTTGGCTTTAAACACATTGAGTTTGACACGCCAATGGGGTTTCAAGTTGGAAATATCAAGAAGGCAGATAAAATGAGACAGGGTTATGTGAAAATATTTGAAGTTCATCAATGTTAATGGGAGATTTGCAGCTTTAGACGCTTCTTTGTGGATTCTTCTTAAGTTAGAAGACGAAATTCCATATAGTCTGAGTAGCGGCAGAGAAGGAAGCTCAGGACAAGACCTAAGGAATGGACTTACAGGTGAAAGAAACTGAAAGAGAATGCAAAACCAATTGTAAAGCACAGGAGGTGGTAAGGCAGCAGAAAACTAAGAAGAGAGAAGAACTCAAGATACTAAAATATTATAAAAAGGCTAATATAATTAAAACAGTGTGCTAATGGCATACAGATAGTGAAATAAAGGTCAGACAGAACAAGAGTCACGTACATTAAGTATATAATGTAGATGGAGTTTCAAATCACTGGGATAATATGATTTAGTAAATAAATAGTAAGTGAATGCTTGAGTGATCTTTAAAGGGAAAGAGACTTTTTTATTATATACTATACACATCTACTCTTAGGGTAGATAGTGTATCCTCACCAAGAAGAATAAAGACCCATTTATAAAAAATGTACTAGCCGAATATTGGGAAAAATGATGAAAACTTCACAATCCACAAAAGAAAAAAATGGCAGATTTGAATAACAATGTACTAATTCTCTGTTATGAAATTACACTAAACAAAGTTAACACATAAATAATTTAAAAAGGGAGAAGGATTTTGACATATACAAGCCAAATATTAATACTTATAAAATAAAAAGGGCTTCTATACATCAACTTCTTAAAAGTTCATTTATCCCAAGAGAAAAATGGACAAAGTATGTAAACAATAAATTTCCAGATAAAAACTACAAACAAATAGCAGACACATGAAAATATAATACTAATCTTTAAAAAAGTAATATAGCTTTTGATGCCTATTATACAGGTTCAAAAAAATAAAATATATTGAAATATTCAGTGTGTGTGTTATTAAACAAAAATGTATTCTCATATTTAGTTGGTGGATGACAAATTGGTACAGTGGTTCTGAAAGTCTAATATGATACCATTTATCTATATTATAAATGCGTGTAGGCTAGAGCCCAGAAAATCCAGCAACACTAAAACCATTAATCCTATCTCTCATGTAGAATTATAAATATAAAAAATTATATATAAACAATTTAGATATGTTCACAGGAAAGCTTATTATCACAATAAGAATGAAGAAAAGACAAAAATGAAATTTAAAAATTTTAAATATCCATTGATAGGGGAATTATAGATCCAAAAATAAAGTATTTCAGAAATTTTAAAAATAGCAAAGTAAATCTACTGACTTGAAAATATATCAATAACATATTATTGGACAATAAAATAACTTGGGTGTATTTAAATGTGTAAATATATGCTGAAGCAAAATATTGCTTACAAATGATATTTATAATTGTTAGCCATGAAAAGCTGATTAGAGGAAAGAAGGAAAATTTTTACCTTAAGGCTTCAAAGAATTAGTTGGGTAATGGTTTTGCTGGTATGTGTATGCTCTTCAGTTTTCCTAAATTTTCTTAAATGAGTATCAGTTACATTTACAATATTTTAAAACAGAAGTTGCCTTGCATCTTGGTAGAGTTAAAATTATGTAGTCAGTAAAAACATATTACTTGAAGACATATGCAGAAGCATATCACAGCTAAACTATTTACTTCCAATGCAAATTCCTCAAGTTCTTTCACCTTTTTGTGCCCCAATTTCCTCAAATGCAAAATGAGCCTAAAAATACCTCCTGTGTAGCATTGTTTTTCTGAAACATCAAATGAGACATCAGTCTGATATTGAAGGTAAAATCTATGCTTCGTGGCTGGCATATAAATATGCTAGTATGATTTTTATTGTTTTTCTTGGTGATAGCGACAGTGGAGAAGAAAATAGCTAGCTTTGATATTTCAAGGAGAGATTAGTAGAAATGTGGGAACAGATGGAATGTGAAATTTATGTCCTTTGAACTACCACCCAGTTTTTTGAAGAAGTAGGCTATATCAAGATTATTTTTCTCCAGCCTGGGTGACAGAGAGAGAGAACCTGTCTCAAAAAAAGATTATTTTTCTTTACTACCCCTTAAATCACCACACCAGCCTCATCTTCCCCTTCCTTGCAGTTTGCTCTGGGTGACTAGCCAGTCTGCAGATATATTCTTCTTTGCCCCATCTTTGAGCCTCTGTGCCAGCTCTTTCCATCAATGAGAATTTCCGTACCACCTGTTGACAGCCAACCCATCTTGTAAAGAAAAGCTCATTCTCGCACTACTGCTTTCATTCTTCATTTCCCACACTTTATGGACATTGCTAGCACATCCACTTGGTCACCTTGTATCATCATTTGTGCCAATGTAGATCACTTACAAGATAAACTTCTTGATGAGTGTGGGAGACTTGAGAGGCGAGGGATGGTGAGACGTATTAAAGTTGATGGCCACACAGAATTTAATAAAACACAACTTAGATAACTTTCAGTGACTATTAAGTGAATTTAAGATAATAGGAAGATGGAGGAGCTAAGGAAAAGGCAAATATTGAACTTCATTTTTTGCTGAGTTAATTATGATGCTGTAAAAAAAAAATAGGATAGCGATGATTTTCTTAAAAATGAACAGAGAAAGACATTTCTATTTCAATTCCTACTCCCAAATTAAAATAAAAATGACAGCAACAAAAGTAGTGAAGGAAACCCCATTTTCAGTGAAACTAAGGAAGAATCATAACCCTAAACCACAACCACAAAACATGAAGATTAGAGTAAAATTTGAACTAAATCAAGGGAGACTGTGGTAAAAGAAATAAAAACTTTTTTTTTTTTTTTCACAGTAGAGGATGCCATTTTAGGTGGCACAGCCTTAAAGGACCAAATAATCTTTCTTGAAAAGTAGAGCTCTGAATGAGTAGATAAGCCAGAGGCATATGCCTGGATTTTATTCCCCATACCACTGTTTGCATATAGGTTTGAAGGGCGGTCCACACAGATCTGTCTGTGTAGGTGTACAGGAAATGGTTCAGTGAAATGGAAAGATAAAGGAAAGAAGTAAATGTTTTATGTACTGATTACAGCAAGCTGCCTAAAGATAAATAAATGCTAAATTGCAATGCATGAAGTCTAAATACAATTGGTTATTTTAAAGAGAAATGTAGATTCCTGGATTTATCTCAGAAAATATTAAGAAAAGAATTGAAAATGCAGTCAAAAAGCTGCCTTTCGAACAGTTACAAGGCTGCGACTATTTACAGGGGAAATGTAATAAACCTTTAAGAACCAGATAATTTCTATTGCTATGTTATTTAAGCTGCCCCACACCATTAATTTTTTAAAATACTAGTTTAAAAGAAAGGCTTTTCCAGATCTTTTTACAAAGCAAGGACAGCTGTGATTCTGAACTATAATGAAGATAGCCCCCCCAAAAAGTACGTAAAAGAAAGAAAATGCAAGCAAAGCTCACTTTTTTATTATGTAATTTTAAATGACACATAATAATTGCACATATTTATAAGATGCAGAGCATGTTTTGATATAAATACACAATGTGTAATGATCAAATCCATGTAATTTGTATACCTATACATCAAATATTTTCATTTTTTTATGTTGGGAACATTCAAAAAAGCTCTCTTGAAGCTATTTGAAAATATATAATAAATTTTTATTAACTATAGTCACTTTACAGTGCTACAGAACATTAGAACTTATTCCATCTATCTAACCGTAACTTTGTACCCACTGACCGACCTCTCTTCCTATCCGCTGCCCATCCTTTCCAGCCTTTTATAATCACTATCCTCTCTACTTCTATCAGATCAACTTTATTAGCTTCTACATAGGAGCAAAGCTCACTTATTATTAAGACAAAAACTCTGAGTGAAATAATAGTCAAGTTAATCTAGAAGCTTTTCAAAATAATTGTAAATAGGACTCAACTTTGAGCTGCTAAGATGGTTCAATATTGAAAATTGTTTATATTAAGAGTATAGGGGTATATGCTTGTCTCTACCAAAATTTAAAATAGTCTTTTATAAAATTTAACATTCATTCTAATAAAACTTACAGTAAAAATGGGAATCAGTAAGCTAAACACACAGTCACATAAAAATACACAAACTCATTTAGAAACATTCTCAGTAAAGACATTAACGAGCCAAGAATGCCCACTTCAAAATAGATGATATTTTTAGGAATTGTTATCAATATTAATTTGGCTAGAAGTAAAATGTCATAAAGGAAAATAAAAAAGAGTTATTCTTATCTTCGCAAAATTTGATCATATTCCAAAAATTACAAAAGATTCAATGGCATATTATAATAAATATAGCAATGTTTAATAAGAAATTGAGAGTGTTCTGTCTTTGCCCATGAACAGTATCATCTTACTTACTTTCTAGGAAAAAGGAAGTCTTTATCAGCTCAGCCCCTCATTGAAAGAGAGAAAGAGAAAGAGAAGGAGAGAAATATAGAATTATAACTTGGGTAGAGAGAGGCAAGTTGGAAAATTAAGATCAGTGATTTTGCAATAACTCCAAATTCTAGATGTATTTGGAGACAGAGAGTCAGAAAAACAATTACAGAAGAAAAGGGGCTTAGGGCAGAAATAGTTATGTAGAAAGTAAGGAATTTTACAGTTTGAGTACTAGAGAGAGATTTTGAGTGAGTGCTCAGGACACCTGCTCAGAGAAGCTTGCAGGTGTGACTCATTAGTAGAAGGACCTATGGCTAGGGGCATAGGCAGACCAACAGACTCAGAAAAACATGGGGACTAAATAATTTCAGAGAAACAAGAGGGTGAATATGACATCTACATGGAACGTTCCTAAGAGCTGGACAAAAATAATTTCTTTTGGACATGATAACAGATTACAAACAGTGTCCAACCATCTTTTTTATTTCCCCATTGGTGAAAAATGAGATGCATAGTGTCTGCCATCCAACTTGCTGGAAAATATAAGTGGAGTTCCTTTCTTTGGAGGCATGAATTAGGATTGTAAATAGCGTGGTGGTTAAAATTATCAGTTCTACCTTTCTTTTTTTCATTACTTTTAATTAACAAATAACAATTGTATATATTTACAGCATACAACATGATGTTTTGAAATATATATATATATATATGTAAACATCATGGAATGGCTAAATAGAGCTAATTAACATTTGTATCACCTCGCATACTAATTTGTGGCAAGAACACTTATAAGCTACTCTCAGAAATCTCTAAGTGTAAAGTACAGTGCCATGAACTCTAGTCACCACAGTGTATAATCAATCTTTCTTTTTGTGTTTTGTTTTGTTTTTGAGATAAGGTCTCATTCTTTCATTCTTTCACCCAGGCTGGAGTGCAGTGGCACAATTTCGGCTCACTGCAAACTTCATCTCCTGGGCTCAAGCAATTCTCCCACCTCAGCCTCCTGAGTATCTGCAACTACAGGCACATGCCACCACGCCAGGCTAATTTTGCCTTTTTTTTTTTTTGTAGAGATTGGGTTTCCCCATATTGCCCAGGCTAGTCTCAAAATCCTGGGCTCAAGCGATCCACCTGCCTCAGCCTCCCAAAATGCTGGGATTACGGGCGTGAGCCACTGTGCCTGGCTACAATAGATCTCTTGACCTTATTTCTCCTAACTGAAATTTTGTATCATTCGACCAATATCACCCCAATTCTTCCCACCAACACCTCTCCTAGCACCTGGTAACCACCATTCTACTCTCTGCTTCTATGTGACATACCCATTTCTAGATTACAGGATTCAAATTCTAGATTTGTTTCTGAACCTTCTGTGTCTTGGTTTCTTACCTATAAAATGTGAACAATAACAGCACCTCTTACCTAATTTTGTTGTAAGTATTCAATAATTAAAGAACACGTTTAATACAAAACTTGAATTTGTATGTACTCAATAAATACTCTTTTAATGAAATACACTATGTTAATTTTCTTGGAAAATATATATTGGTATGCCACTATACAGTGTGTCATCTCTCAATATAATATCCTTTAGCTCCAGCTTACCTTATGAACATAACATACCAGGAAAGGCATTCTTTAATACTGAACATGTACTAAATAAAGCACTTTTTAATGTTGAAAGATTCTCATATTTAGTTTTTTTTTTTTTAACTTTTTTTTATTATACTTTGACTTCTAGGGTACATGTGCACAACATGCAGTTTTGTTACATATGTATACATGTGTCATGTTGGTGTGCTGCACCCATTAACTGGTCATTTACGTTAGGTATATATCCTAAAAAACTGGCAATTATTTGTCACAGGAAAACTTTTTTTGAATTATTACATAAAATTTCACAGACAATAAAGGATAGATTGTGTTTAGTTTCATGGTGAGCAATTATCCAAAGAAAAGAAAGAAAACAGTTGTTTGATTTCAGAAGGAACTATGTTCACCACTTCACAAAACTGAGAAGATAATTTGGTTGAGGAGATAGATTTCTCATTTTAAAAAAATACTCAATTTATTTTAGTTCCTGCTGTGTCTTCCTTCAAAAGGATGATCAACTTTATACATTTCTAAAAAATTTTTGCTCCATTGAACGTACAGACATAACCTGAATACATCCTTATCATTTATTTTCAAAAGAGATGTCATGACTCCCTGCCAGGTTGCTATCTGTATTGCCCACAAGACAGTCAACCTGATGACACAGGATGAAAATGGTTTCCAGCCCTACCCATGAGTCTAACTCTGTTAACTTCACTTATTGGAGTTTATATTTTCATGTATTGGCAATTTGTCCCTTGCATTGACTTACTGCCCTATAGTGGAGATTACTGCTGTAACTACTGGTTCATTCTTCATCACCAGGCTTATAGCTCTCTCTGGCCACTCTAAGGTAATATTTAAGTACTCTGCATCACAGTACTACTTTAGCATGACTAACAATGATATATATGTTGAAAAATAAGCAAATTTTCACAAGAACTATGTGTACCAGTTATTACTAGTGGGAAATATGACCAGCTAGGTCTGGTGAAGGCAGATCATGAAGAATTATTAAAACAGTCAGAGAAGCAAGTTAGATCACTATGGACTTACTTATATTTAGCCTACTCAGGGTTTACTGTGATTTTGAATCAGAGAATTCTTGATCTTGAACAAATCTGGAAAATTATCAGCTATTATCTCATCAAATATTGCCCCTTTCTCCTTCACACTTCTTTTTGCATTCTCATTAAAATATATATATTTTTTGAGACAGGGTCTTGCTCGATTGCCCAGGCTAGAGTGCAGTGGCACAATCTCCTGTCACTGCAGCCTCCACGTCCCGCGCTCAAGTAATCCTCCCACCTCAACCCCCGAGTAGCTGGGGACTCCAGGCGCATGCCAAAGCCCAGCTAAATTTTGTATTGTTTTGTTTTGTTTGTTTTTGTAGATATGGGGTTTTACCATGTTGGCCAGGCTGGTCTCGAACTCCTGAGCTTAAGCGATCCACCCACCTCAGCCTCCCAAAGTGTTGGGATTACAGGCATGAGCCACAACACCCGGCCATTAAATTCGAATTAAACACGTTAGTACTTTTCACCCTTTGTTCCTCACTTGTATAGTTTTCATTGCCTTTTATCTCTATGTTGGACAGTTAGTTATTACTTTAGGTATTCTTTCAGTTTGCTAAACATGTCTTTAACTTTGTCTAATCTGCTATTACACCTATCCATTGCACTTATTTATTTAATCACATTTTTACACGTCTTTTTTTTTCTTAAATATGTCTGTTCTCGTTTTATAAACGTAAGTAGTGTTCATTCTCATATTCTAAATTTTACCATGTTAAGAATATTTATTTTACAGCATTCTTGTATAATTCCACTATACGATATTACACATTATACAATGTGCAATTATACAATGTGCAATTATACAATGTGTAATTCCATTATCTGAAGATCCTGGGGATCTGATACTATTGGTTTTATTTTTGGAGTTCCCAGGAGTAATCCATGGGGAGTCTGTGCAGTCTGGATAGAGACAGCATCCTTCCAAAGAGAATTTGTTTTTACTTCTGCCAAGTACCCTTACGTTTTACCAACCCAAGTCTCCTTTATGGTAATTACTAATTTAGAAGTTGTCAGGACAAAGGAAATAAATTTAAACCACACACAGCTAGCATGAGGCCATATTTGTGTTTACAAGTCTTTAGGAAATGCATTTTTCCCAACCAGAGTTCAAGCCAAAGTAGCTAAATTATCTGATCTTATTTTGGAGTTTAGCTGATTTTTTTTCTTTTCCTTTCCATGTTTTCATTAGGTTATGCTATTTAAAGCTTCTACAATTGTCCATTTTAGCTCCTATGTGGACTTCCCACCCCTCATTCACCTTTAACAATGTCCATTAAAAGAAAGCCTTTTGGTTTCTAAGATTGGAAAACACGTCCAGGTAAATCATAACTTTAGTGCAGTTAACTACTCCAGTCAAAACTTTTTTGTTTTAGGTCACTGTGGAGTTTGCTTACTGTCTTAGTCCACTAAAGCTCCTATAACAAAATACCACAAACTAGGTGACTTATAAACAACAGAAATTTATTTCTTACAGTTCTGAAAGCTGAGAAGTCCAAGATTAGGGTGCCAGCACAGTCAGGTTTTGGTGAGGGCCCTCTTCCAGCTTGTAGACTATTAACTTCTCCCTGTGTCTTCACATGGGGGAAAGGGGCAACACGGCTCTCTGAGCCCCCTTTTATAAGAGCACTAATCCCATTTATGAAGGTTGTGCTTTCATGACAAATTACTTCCCAAAAAACCATACCTGTTAATACTATCACTTTAAGGGTTAAGATTTCAACATACGAATTTAGGGGGACTCAAACATTCAGACCATAGCACTTACATTCTCACAAGCTCAACATTTGAAAGAATGTTGTTATCTTTTATCTAGGTATATTTTATCCACCTATCTTACAGTGGGAGGGTTTTCTATTTACTCGATCATACTGATAGAAATTCAAGTTAGTGTAATCAGTAACTTGACTCAGGAAGTCATGATGTTCTTAAAATGTATCATCTGGATTGAGTCTAGTTCAAACTGGTATGCTTAAGTCTCACATCCTGGTAAACTCTCAGCCCAGGACCCATACCCAGAATTAGCCACATCTGGTAGTCAGAGTTGTTGATGGCAAGTGATAGAAACTGACCAACTGTCTTAAATAACAATAAAAATAAATAATACAGAGGGATATTGGGGATTCCCAAAATCAGCCGCAGGCTGATAGCCAGTCCTAGAGGACGAAAAAGAATGAAGAAAACTGTCATGTACATCTGGTTCAATATTCAAAAATTCCCTCCAGGAGCAATGATTCAAGCCTGAATATTTTCTCTGCCTCCCAGCTGAGTCCTAGAGGTGAGCTTAACTCCCACTAAGATATAAAGGAGATTCTCTAAAACGGAGATGTGATACAGCAAAACAATACAAAATAAAAAGAAATCTTATTTCAGCAGTTGTGGCAAAACAGTTGAAAATATGTGACACTTGGAATTGATAGAGATCTTTAGATGTCTTATAATTATATATCCTTCCCCAGCAGAATTACGAATAAATCAGGTCGCTTTCATCTTATATTTGCTGAGTTTTTGTTATGCTAAGTGCATATTTTTGTATTCTTGTGACAAAATTTTCACATATTTATCTTTATTGCATTTCTGTCACTTGCAAGAAACATTTGGAATTTCAGTGGAATCATCCTTAGCATTGTTCAAGTCCATCCCCACCTTGATATATTCTATGTTCACTCAGCCCTTATTGCTTACCAGTCTTGAACAATTATATAATTTCCTACTGCTATATTTCAGCCATTATACCCCTACTCATTATGTGAACTTTTATTGATATTTAACTACAAAACTTCTTTTTTTATAAAAGAATTATTTCTTATGCAATCTGTAAACTAGAAAGGAAAGTATTGTGTTTCACGCAACAGCCCTGTAGTTAAGTACTATTATTCCTACTGTAAAGATGAGGAAACTATAGTTTAGAGAAATTAAACAAACAAACAAAACATGCCCAACTCTTACGGAGTTAGTTAAGAGCAGAGATGAGATGCAAACCCTTTATTTGACTATAAAGTTTTGTTCTGAGCAATTAGGTCATTCTGGTGTAAAGTATCAAATAATTGTTTCCAAACACTTTCCCACTATTAAGTAGATGACTGAATGCCTTCTTTATTACTTCCTAGATTATAACATCTGCTTATTCATCTTTCCAACAAATAGTAATTTTGTAACTATGTACCAGGCACTTTTCTAAGTGTTTAGAATACATGAATAAATTAAAGAAAAAAAAAATCTCTATGCCCATGTATCTTTGTAGCAGAGGTGAGATAGACAGCAAATAATAAATACAATAAATTCCAATTTTAGGTATTTCAGATGGGGTTAAATACGGTGGGAAAAGAATTTAAAATCCTTTAGGCTGAGTGGAAAATAAGAATGCTGGGGAACAGAGGTTGGAAAGAATTGTTGCACATTGTAGTCATGTGTTAGGTTGAACCATATGAAATTGTTTTTGACTTATGAAAATGGCAATTCATAGCATTCAGCCTATATAAGTGGTCAAGATAGACATCATTGAGAAGGTAAGCTTTGAGCAAACACTTGAATGGGATAAGGGCTAACCAGACAGATATTTGATGGAAAAATGATTTAGGTTCCTTCTGTGCATGACATATAAACCTTTTCTCATTTTAAAGTTCTTTTGATCTGACCATTGGCCTCCTATGATAAATATTCATCTAGTCTCAGACATCCTCTGTTACATGTCAGAATTCATCATTCTGGAAGTGTAAGGTATCCAGAAAGCCAGACATTTTTCATAATGTTGTTAGTGTCATGAGCTTTGCACGTATTTCCCCTTTTTCCAAAAATAAATTACCATAAAAAGACCTTTAGGAAACTTCAATTCTCAAGTATTTCTTCCCAGTGATTCAGAAGCAATAGATATATTTGCTTGCTTGCTTTTGGCCTATCCATCACTGCCACATAAAAAATAGTTGTAGGATCTTCAATATGTTTGGTAAACCCTGGAAGGCTCAATTATGATATAATCATCTCTTTGGGACACTACCATGTGTGCCGTAAAGTATTAACTCAATGGGCCTTAGTTACTCAAATCCTGGATCTTCCAAAGAAAGGACTGATCCTTGACCAGCTCTTGGGGATAATCTCTGAGCCCTTGGAATCTACTGCTTTACAAGAGTGTTTTAATATATAGCAGGCTTTGTATCACATCGGTTTGACCTCTGGGGGCTAGAATCTGAGTAGCCACAGTCAGTCAAGTAGGAGCTGCATGCCTACATGACTGACCCCATTAAAAACCCCAGTTCCGGCCGGGTGTGGTGGCTCATGCCTGTAATCCCAGCACTTTGGGAAAATGAGGCGGGCGGACCACTTGAAGTCAGGATTTTGAGACCAGCCTGGCTAATGAGGTGAAACCTTGTCTCTACTAAAAGCACAAAAATCAGCCGGGCGTGGTGGTGGGTGCCTGTAGTCCCAGCTACTCAGGAGGCTGAGTCAGGAGAATTGCTTGAATCTGGGAGGCGGAGGTTGCAGTGAGCCAAGATAGCGCCACTGCACTGCAGCCTGAGCGGCAGAATGAGACCATCTCAAACAAACAAACAAACAAACAAACAAACAAACACAACCACCCCCACCCCCGCCCTTCGCCTCAGGTCCCAAGGTAGAGGTGAGCTTCCCTGTAGCAGCACTTTGTACGTATTGTCTCAAATTGTTACTGGGAGAATTTAAGACTGTCTGTGCCACTCTTTGGGAGAAGACAACAGGAAGCTTGTGAGCTTCAGCTTGTGCTTGGTTTCTCCTAGACTTCACTCTAGGCATCTTTTTTCTTTTCCAGGTTTTAATTTGTATCTTTTTTACTACAATAAACTGTAACTGTGAGTATAACAGCTTTTCTGAATCCTCCTTTTGGTGAATCATTGAGCCTGAGTGGTCTAAGGGATCTCCAACACATCAACCACCACACCTTATCCCTTTTTCCTGGGACCTAGTAATCGTATGCATTATATTTCCAGGATCTGATCACCCTTTGCCTTTGAATGGAGTCCAGGAGAAGAAGTAGGCTGTCCAGCATTGTGTTCCAGAGCCCCACCCCATCCTAATTTAATATCCTTCACTTCTTCATGTCGACACACAGATTTTGATTGTTCACCTTTTCACAATCTCTCCATCCCAACCCTGGCTTTAATCATGG
This sequence comes from Homo sapiens, assembly GCF_000001405.40. Classification (NCBI taxonomy): domain Eukaryota; kingdom Metazoa; phylum Chordata; class Mammalia; order Primates; family Hominidae; genus Homo; species Homo sapiens. Next base: position 164,136,446 of record NC_000005.10, on the reverse strand, counting down.
ATTGTTCCTCCTACTTTGATTAGGAACTTTTCATTTTGGAAAATAAGCTTAGATACACAGATTTCCATATTTGTAGCAAGCACCCTAGGTGCCTGTTATATCTCCTAAAAGTTGAAAAGACAAAGTTCTCAATTACAGTCAGTTTCTTTTTGTTCTTTATTTCACTATGTTGTCCAGGCTGGTTTCAAATTCCTGGACTTAAGCAATCCTCCACCTTGGTCTCCCAAAGTGTTAAGATTTCAGGCACGAGCCACTATACCTGGCCCAAGTCAGTTTCTTTAATCAGTTACCAATCTCTAATGACCATTGACCAAAGTATTTATAAATTTCCCATCTCTTTATGTCTTTTTTTATGGTAAAAATTAACATTAAACATTCTTCTTTTCATAATCAAATATAGATATTATGTATATAAAACCTATATGTGAACTGCAGTAATGTGGAAAACATGTTCATTGCATGGAAGGTTGGATGATTCATCTAATATTATTCTATAATAGAGATCATGCATTTTTATACAAATTAATAAAAATCTTTTATTTTAGTAAAAAGGCAGAGTTTTTCAAATTTTAAATACTGGTATCAATAATCTAATGTGACAAAACTATTTTCTACAACAATGTTGCTTTTTTGGAAAGAAGACATTGGATTGGAAAACGTATAAGAACCCTAATTTATAAACAAATTTTACTTTATATCTTAATTTTTTAAGTTTCATTTTCAGTCACACATCACCCCTACAGTGACCTAACATTTTTCAATATGCAATACAATTTGCATATGCAATTTCAATGCAGTGACCTAACATTTTCAATATGCAAAAACGATGAAAAAATTAGTTAATAAAAATAAATATGTTATTATCAAACATGTTTTAAAATTTCTTCAATATGTCCTATTTCAAAAGTTGTGCTCATCTTTAGAAGGACATAGGAATCAGTGTTCAAAATGAGCAATGAATCAACTATTCCAATAAAAGCATCAGGCAAATTACTACTTATAACATAATGTTGAATAGTACCTCAAACTTATGAAATAAAATAATTCTATTAGTAGTAATCATTTTCCCATCTCTGTAAATTCTGTTTCTATAAGTAATGAACCAATCCTTAATGCTTCTGTGGAGTAACCTCTATTCACATTATTATTTGGCTGATCATCCTTTTGGGGAATATTATGTTATGTAGAACCATCACTGTAAATGAATTTGCTTAAATGTATGGTTCTAAATTAGTGGATTTGTCATCATTTTGGTTGACACAGGATTCATTTAAATATAATTGAGAAATGATTTGAATACTATATATGTATATGTACTATATATGCATATTAATACTATATATGTATATATAGTACTATAGGAATACTACATATGTATATGTACATGTACTATGTATGTATATATATGTTCAGCCATTCTGATAAGTTATCATCCATACTGCTATATTTAGCTTCTTTCTGGGAATATAGCTTTAGCAATTCAGAAATGGACTGCAAACCTCTGACTTCCAGATAGGTCACTGTCAGTTAAAAAGTGCATAGTATAAATACACCTCAGTTTATGAAAAGATATACGTTTAACTCACAGATCTCACTGAACAGTAGATATTTATAGAAAACAGGCAAAGGAAACCCAGCCATGACTAGATGCAAATATTCCAGTTTACAGTTTCTAGTATAATCTCTATTAATATCTTCCACAATGAGATCAATTTTAAGAGCATCTAATAAGAATTTACCAGTCAGCCTCGCATGCCTTGACTCTTTCGCTAGTCACACAATTGTTTGTTTATCATTGAAGGAAACTCACTTTTCTTATGAAGTGTGGTGCTTTCCTTAGGAGAGGGGTTTTAGATTTGCAGATGCTATTTATGTCATAAATGTACAAGCAAGCACAGAAACAAGCAAGAAATGACTGCCTTTTATGTTGATGTAACAGAGAATATGAATATTTGAATGGTATATGCAAGTAAGAGTTACGTAACAAGGAGAAATCTTCTATTTCATTTATTTCTGGGAGAGGGAAACACTTTCAGACATGTTACCTGAAAAGGTTTGCTTAAAGTACACATGAAAGAATGCAAGACTTTTAAAATAAAAATTTAGTTTGGGTAAAATCAGGCAGATAGAGAAAAGAGGAGAGAGTATATAAACTTAACTTCATTGACTTTCTTAAGAGAGTGATGTCATCTATACCTGTTTTATCTGCCCTTATCCTTCAAACATCAGAATTAATATTTTATTTATAAATGGAATTTACACTCAATTTACTGAGCATCTCTAATGTACCAAGACTGTGCAAAGTTCTCTTATTTTCTGCATTTACTTCATGTTTAGAATCAAAACCATTCCTGATTGTCTTAAGGTCTATAATATGATTGTTACATCTTATGCAGCACTCTTATATGTTAGTCTGGGTATCAAAGCCATCTTTATTAGAAATGGAAGTTATAATATATTTGGCTTCAAACAATGTACATCTATTAAATTTAATGAAAATATCCATAATCAAAAGTAAAATAATTTATATAAATTACATTTCTTAAAAAGTCCCAAAGGAAGCAGTGTTGCATGAAAAATGTAAATAAAGCAAAATCCTTATCTACCATTAATATGCCTGCAACTCCAGCCTTAGGTCAGACAGAAGCTGTACACTATCAAGTAAGGGAAGGATCATCAGTGTGCTAGTAAGAGTCATTCAAAAAGTTGTGGCATATCTTCTCTACCAAAGATAATTTTAATAACCATTTTTCTCTAAATAACTGATTTCCCTTTTTCAACTAAGCAGGTCATTTCCCACACCTGCTTTATAAGGGTAAAAAGAAAATTTATACAAAGATTCTAAGTGCAATTATTTTTATTAGTCAATTTCCCCCGGCTATAAAGAAATACCTGAGACTGGGTAATTTATAGAGGAGAGAGGTTTAACAGGCTCATCCTTCTGCATGCTTGTGCAGGAAGCGTAATGCTGACATCTGCTCAGCTTCTTAGGAGGTCTCAGCAAAACTCACAATCATGGCAAAAGGCAAGATATGGAGCAGCATTTCACATGGCCAGAGAAGGAGCAAGGTGGGGTGAGGGTACACACTTTTAAATAACCAGATTTCACTGTCACAAGAACAGCACCAAAGGGATGGTGCTAAACCATTCGTGAGAACTCTGCCTCCGTGATTCAATCACCTAGCATCAGGCCTCATCTCCAACACTGGGGATTACAATTTGACATGAAATTTGGGCAGGGACACATATAAAAACTGTATTATTCTTCCCCAGCCCCTCCTGAATCTCATGTCCTTCTCATATTGCAAAATACAATTATGCCTCCCAAACAGTCCCCAAAAGTCTTAACTTATTCCAGTATTAACTCTAAAGTCCAAAGTCTCATCTGAGAAAAAGCCAGTCCCTTCTGCTTATGAAACTATAAAATAAAAAAAAAAAGTTAATTGTTTCCAAGATACAATGGGGGTACAGGCATTAGGTAAATACTCCCTTTCCAAAAGAAAGACATTGGTCAAAAGAAAGAGGTTGCAGGCCCTATGCCAGTGTAAAACCCAGCAGGCTTGTCACTGAATTTTAAAGGCCCAAAGAGTCTCCTATGACTCCATGTCTCACTCACATGCAGAGCACATGGTGGGCTCCCAAAGCCACTCTGTAGCTTTCCAAGGCTTATCCCCCTCACACTGAGTGCGAGCGGCCTGGGGCTTTTCCAGGAATAAGGTACAAGATGTTGGTAGATCTACTATTCTAGGATCTGGAGGATGGTGGCCCTCTTCTCACAGCTCCACTAGGCAGTACCCAGTGGGGACCCTGTGTGGGGACATCAATACCACATTTCCTTTCTGTGCTGCCCTAGCAGAGGATCTCCATAAGGGCTCCACCCCTGCAGCAGGCTTCTGCCTGGACATCCAGACTTTTCCATACATTCTCTAAAATCTGGGTGTAGACTCCCAAGCCTCAATTCTTACATTCTGTGAACCTGCAAGCTTAATACCATATGGAAGCTGCCAAAGCTTATGGCTTGTACCCTCTGAAGCAGTGGCCCAGGTTATACCTGGGCTCCTTTGAGCCAACGCTAGAGCTGGAGCAGCTGGGACCCAGTGAGCAGTGTCCTGGAGCTGTGCATGAAAGTGTGGCGCTGGGCTTGGCCCATGAAACCATTCTTCCCTCCTAGGCTTCTGGGCCTGTTATAGGAGGGCCTGCACAAAGGTCTCTGAATGCCTTTGAGGCCTTTTCACCATTGTCTTGGATAGTAGCACTTGGATCCTTTTTTCTTATGCAAATTTCTGCATCCTACTTGGATTCCTCCCCTGAAAATGGGCTTTTGTTTTCTACCACATGGCCAGGCTGCAAATTTTTCAAACTTTTACACTCTGATTACTTTTTAAATATAAGTTTGCATTTTATGTCATTTCTTTGCTCAGACATATGAATGTATGCAGTTAGAAGCATCTGGGCATCTCTTGAGTGCTTTCATGCTTAGAAATTTCTTTTGCCAGATACCCTAAATCTCCACTCTGAAGTTCAAAGTTCCAGAGATCCCCAGAACAGGGGCACAATGCAGCCAGACTCTTTGCCAAAACAGAGTAAAAGTGACCTTTACTCCAGTTACCAATAAGTTCTTTACTTCCATCTGAGACCTCCTCAGCCTGGACTTCATTGACCATATTACCATAAGCATTTTAGTCATACCAATTCAATAAGTCTCTAGGAAGTTCCAAATCTCCCTTCATCTTCCTGTCTTCTTCTAAGCCCTCCACATTACTTCAATCTCTGCCTGTTACCCAGTTCCAGAGTTGCTTCCACATTTTCAGGTATCTTTATAGCAATGCCCCATTCCTCAGTACCAATTTTCAGTATTAATTTGTTTTTATACTGCTATAAAGAAATACCTGAGACTGAGTAATTTATATATTTAAAAAAGGTTTAAGTGACTCATGGTTTTGCAGGCTGTACAAAAAGCATGATGCTGGCATCTGCTCAGCTTCTGGGGAGGCCTCAGGAAGACTTACAATCATGATGAGGGCAAAAGAGGGAGAAGAACTTTACACAGTTGGAGAAGGAGCAAGAAAGAGAGGGGCGAGGTGCTACACACTTTTAAACAAACAGATCTTGTGAGAACTCATTCACTACCATGAGAACAGGATCAAAGGGACGGTGCTAAATCATTCATGAGAACTCCACCCCCATGATCCAATTATCTCCCACCAGGCCCCACTGCCAACACTGGGGATTATAGTTCAACATGAGATTTGAAGATTTGGGCAGGACACATATCCAAACCACATCATTACTCATCTCTGGTAAAACTGTATTTTGTAGATAAGTGAATCCATAATCTTTTTTACTATTTGATGGGGACCATAGGAGGAGGTCAAAGGCAGCAAAAAGACACTCTAAGATCATGCAGTTCCAAATAACATTAAAGAAAATAAGTTACAGGGAAGCTAAACATCTAGTGGCTTATGCCTATAATCCCAACACTTTGGGAGTCTGAGGTGGGCAGATCACTTGAGCTCAGCAGTTCAAGACCAGCCCAGGCAAAGTAGTGAGACCTTGTCTCTACAAAAATATAAAAATTAGCCAGGCATGGTGATGCATGCCTGCAGACCTAGCTATTCAGGAAGCTGTGTTGGGAGGATTGCTTGAGCCTTGGAGGTCATGGCTGCAGTGAGCATTGTTCACACCACTGCATTCCAGCCTGGGTGAAAAAGTAAGACTCTGTCTCAAAAAAAAAAAAAAAAAAAAAGGAAAAATAAAAAAGAAAAAGAGACTAGTGGGATTTTATTATCTACAAATTTAAAACATACAAATATGTATGTACATACACACACATTGAAAACAAATATATATATAAATATACAAACATATGTTTTAAATTTGTAGATAATAAAATCCCACTATTCTTTTTCTTTTTTCTTTTCTTTTTTTTTTTTTTTTTTTTTTTTTTTTTTGAGACAGGGTCTATATATGTATTTGTATTGCCAGAAATGACAAGTAGTCTCACTCTAGGGTGTATCACATAGGAGAAAGTAATGAGGTAAAAGCAAATTGATATATTTTGTAGTTGAAAAATTAAAAGGGGGGATGAAGGAGGGAGGGAGGGAAGAAGGAAGGAAGAGAAGAGGGAAAATAAAAGAAGAGAAAACCCTTTCCTTAAATGGTATGGGACCAGTAGAAAAGGCTAATTTAAGGATAAGCAAGAGGACAAAAAGCCTAATGGGAAAAGTTTGGTTTGTTACAAAGTCTACACCTAAGACCTGAGAATGTCTGGTGTTGGAAAATATACATATTCCTCATATATCGCTAAGTCCAGGTCCTGTGCTGGTCTCTGAGAATATAGCAGGCAAAAAAAAAAAAAAAAGCAAAAATTCCCCAATGCTCCTGTCCTCAGGGAGTTTAAATCCAAGTCAAGGGGAAAGATCATAAACACAAACTATGATATAATATCTCACTTGGGAATAAATACTATCAGGGAAAAACAGTAAGAGAATAAGGACTAATTGGGAGGAAAGAAGGTATCCATCAGGATAGGACATGAGCAGAGACCTGAACAAAAGGAGCAAGCAAGTCCTGGGGCCAGCTGGAGGCAGGGTGATCCAGACACGGGGAACAGCCAATGCAAGAAGGGAGGCAATGATGCTCCTTATGTGTGGAAAGGACATGACAGAGCCTGATGTGGCTGTAGAATGAGTCAGGAATAGGAAAGGAAGTCAAAAGAGGTTGAAAGTGGAGCAGGCTGCAGACTGCACAGAGTTTATGGAGGGCTTTGGATTTAACTGCAAGGTGGGAAGCCATTAGACTGTTTTGAGCGAAGGAGTGACATGTTATGACACGTGCTTTAGAAAGATCTTCCCGCCTGCTGCAAATAAACTGGACTATGGAGTGACAAGGGTGGAAGCAGGAGAACAGTTAGGAGGGTTTCGTATGTATATTTCTCTGTGTGTAACTACTGGTACTACTTTCCAGATAAAAAAGGGGATTAGTGATACTTCATTTACCAAAGTGATTCCAGGCGGATCATGTCATGTTAACATTTTAAAGGTGTTATTTTATTGTAAAAACACGTTTAAAAAAGTTTAAGGCAAAAAATCATCTACAATAAAATCGCCTAATCAAATAAATGTTTTTGTCAATCTTTCTCCCAACCATTTCATGTATTTATGTCAATTACCATATATGCAGTAATTTTGTAGATAGAATTACATAATCTATACTTTTACCTTCACATTTAACATTTCATCACGTGTATCTTCCTACTCTAAGTGTTTGGTTTTCCTAGCTCTCTATATTTCTTATTTTCTAACTGCTTTCCTCTTCCTCCAAATAACCACATGATATTTCCATATCTTTCTTGATACATAAACATTTCCTCTTTGAAATATTCTACTCTCTAAAAATGTTGTTTTGCCTTCATAAAATATGTGTGATTCTTTCTGACACCCGTAATTTTACTTGCTAGAGGTCTAAGGTTTTAATGAATTAATTCTTGATTTTAAAAAATGTATCCGAACTATTTTTAGAATAAACAAAAGTATGTAGATATTTAGTCATATTTCTGAAGGCAAATCTGTTTAAATATGGTATTTCTTTTCTTTCTTTTTTTTTTTTTTTTGGCACATTTGCTGTCTGGGTCATGAACTCCCATTCTCTTTCCTCCTTCAAACTCTCCCTGCAGCTCATTTCAAAGGGGAATGGTGTGTTTGTAAATACATTTGCTATTTAAAATGTATTCCAAGAATGGTTTTAGTGAAGCTTATTACTAGAATTGCATTTGCATTACTAAGTAATAAGTATTTACTCGAAGTACTGTTTGTGCATGGCCATCTGGTTTAATAACACATCCAAGGTTGAGACAGCTCCCCAGGGCTCCACAACTCACTGAGATCTTTGAGAGGGCACAACTACATCAGCAGACCCAGAATTTAAAAACACACAGCTTTTAAACTGCTCATTGGCCCTGAATGCAGTTTTCTTCCTTTGGAAATTATGATAACAGAGTGTTAAAAGTGTAGGGTCCAAGACATTTTATTTAGTCTTCAGTCCCAATAATCAATATTTGGGGGAGAACATTGATGCTGTGATATTTTAAACATTTCATTTTCCTAACTATATTCTAACTATATTAAACAAAGAAAAACTGTGCTGGTAGAAATAAGTATTTTGTTACAATTTTACAGGACATAATTATTGGGGGCAGTAGAAGGACTTAATCCATTTTAGTGGTATTCAGTTACAAAAGATATCAATCACTATTTGCAAAAGAAATAATTCAGTTAAATAAGTCTCTTCCAAAAATGTTCTCTTCCTCTGAAATATTTTAGAAATTGATATGGCTTGACTCTGTGTCCCTACCCAAATCTCATTTTGAATGTTACTCCCATAACTCCCATATATTGTGGGAGTTAATTTGAATTAACTCCCACAATAATTTGAATCATTGGGTAGTTCCCCCTATACTGTTCTCTTGGTAGTGAATAAGTCTCATGAGATCTGATGGTTTTCTCAAGCATTTTTGCTTTTGCATCTTCCTTGTTTTCTCTTGCCACCACCAAGTAAGAAGTGCCTTTCACCTGTTGTCATGATTCTGAGGCCTCCCCAGACATGTGGAACTGTAAGTCCAGTTAAACCTCTTTTTCTTCACAGTTTCAGGTATCTCTTTATCAGCAGTGTGAAAACAGACAAATATAGGAAACTGGTACCAGGAGTGGGGTGTTGCTGAAAAGATGCCTGAAAATGTGGAATCAACTTTGGAACTGCGTAACAAGCAGAGGTTGGAACAGTTTGGAAGGCTTAGAAAAAGACAGGAAAATGTGGGAAAGTTTGGAACCTCCTAGGGACTGAACGGCTTTGACAAAAATGCTGATAGTGATATGAACAATAAGGTCCAGGCTGAGGTGGTCTCAGATGGAGATGAGGAACTTATCGGGAACTGGAGCAAAGGTGACTCTTGTTTTACAGAGATTGGTGGCATTTTGCCCCTGCCCTAGAGATTTGTGGAACTTTGAACTTAGAGAGATGATTTAGGGTATCTGGCAGAAGAAATTTCTAAGCAGCAAGGCATTTAAAAGGTGACTTTGGGTGCTGTTAAAAGTATTCCATTTTAAAAGGGAAATATAGAGTGTGAAAGTTCAGAAAATCTGCAGGCTGACAATGCAGTAGAAAAGAAAAACCCATTTTTCGAGGAGTAATTCAAGCCACCTACAGAAATTTGCATAAGTAGCAAGGAGCCTAATTTTAATCCCCAAGACAATGGGGAAAGTGTCTCCATGGCTTGTCAGAGACCTTCACAGCAGCCCCTCCCATCACAGGCGTGGAGACCCAGAAGGAAAAGGTGGATTCAAGGGGCAGGCCCAGGGTCCCCATGCTATGTGCAGCCTAGGGACTTGGTGCCCTGTGTCCCAGCTACTCCAGCCATGACTGAAAGGGGCCAACATAAAGCTCTGGCTGTGGCTTCAGAGGGTGGAAGTTCCAAGCCTTGGCAGCTTCAATGTGGTGTTGGGCCTGTGGGTGCACAGAAATCAAGAATTGAGGTTTGGGAACCTCTACCTAGATTTCAGAAGATGTGTGGAAATGCCTGGATGCCCAGGCAAAAGTTTGCTGCAGGGGTAGGGTTCTCATAGAGAACCTCTGCTAGGGCAGTGCAAAAGGGAAATGTGGGGTTGGAGCCTCCACACAGAGTCCCTACTGGGGTACCGCCTAGTGGAGCTGTGAGAAGAGGACCACTGTCCTCCTGACCCCAGAATGGTAGATCCACCAACAGCTTGCACTGTGCACCTGGAAAAGTTGCAGACACTCAACGTCAGACTGTGAAAGCAGCCAGGAGGGGGGCTATACCCTGCAAAGCCACAGGGGTGGAACTGTCCAAGACTGTGGGTAACTACCTCTTGCATCAGGATGACCTGGATGTGAGACATGAAGTCAAAGGAGATCATTTTGGAGATTTAAAATTTGACTGCTCTGCTGCATTTTGGACTTTCATGGGGCCTGTAACACCTTTGTTTTGGCCAATTCATCCCATTTGGAACAGCCGTATTTACCCAATACCTGTACGATCATTGTATCTAGGAAGTAACTAGCTTGCTTTTGATTTTACAGGCTCATAGGTGGAAGGGACTTGCCTTCTCTCAGATGAGACTTTGGACTATGGACTTTTGGGGTAATGCTGAAATGAGTTAAGACTTTGGGGGACTGTTGGGAATGCATGATTGGTTTTGAAATGTGAGGACATGAGATTTGGAGGGGTCAGGGGTGGAATGATATGGTTTGGCTCTGTGCCCCCACCCAGATCTCATCTTGAATTTTATTCCCATAACTCCCATGTATTATAGGACGGGCCCATTGGGAGATCATTTGAATCATGAGGGTGGTTTCGCCCATACTGTTCTCATGGTAGTGAATAAGTCTCATGAGATCTGATGATTTTATCAAGGGATTTTGCTTTTGCATCTTCCTCATTTTCTCTTGTGGCAAAAGAAGTGCCTTTCGTCTCCCACCATGATTCTGAGGCCTCCCCAGCCATGTGGAATTGTGAGTCCAATTAAACCTCTTTTTCTTCCCAGTCTCAGGTATGTCTTTATCAGCTGTGTGAAAATGGACTAATACAGAAATATAATCTGCAGGTTTTATATTATTTTCTATTGCTTTTTGGGAAACTAAAAAAAACTCTATATAAGGTTCCAAATTGATTATACATTTATATATGAATAAATACATGAATATGTATATATGTGATGTGTATACATATATATATGCATGCACACCTATTTTTTCTAAGAACATTCCAGAACAAATAGTTTGTGTTTAACAGTTTATTCTTGATACCCACTACTAATATTCTCCAGATAAACCCATAAGCAAGTATTTGGAACAATAGATAGTCAACAAAATATTTTTCATTACATTATCCTATTACTGAAAGTTTGTTCATTTCATTTCTTCTGATAAAAAAAATAAATGCGCAAATATATAATGTCAGTCAGCCTCCCTCTGAGATCTTTATAAAGACTTTACTTTTTGCTTCAAGTACATGACTAAGTAGTGCCCTCTGTCCTTAGTATATATAATACACTAAAAGACCTGAATTCAATCCTTTAATCATAAATGCTCAAAGAAAACAGGCTGTTCTGTGTTCTCTAGATACGTTATCAGCTGTACCTTGAAAAATGACTTTCTATTTTAGAAAGTGAATTTCCAAGAAGAATTATCATGAACAGAAGATCTAGCTGAGAGAAGCTCTCACCCAGTAGAACCTGAATAAATTAATTCCCTGGTTACAAAGATCCTTGATTCCTCTTCACATTTGACTTACATATTTAACCAGAAACAAAGAAACAATTTATAGCCAAACCAAGTATTTCTATAAATCCTTCAAAGAATTAAGACTGAAATCTAAACTTATCCAGCCCATTTACATCACAAAAAGCAGGCTCATAACTCATGATTTTTCAACACCAAGCAATGCTTAATAAAATTCTAATTAGACATCTAAAGGTTCATCATGCTACACTGACCAGAGAAAAATTTGGGGGGTATTAAGCAATTTTTTTAATACCTGGTTTCTCTCATGAGTTTTAGGAATATTATATGAATTATTGTTACTATACTCAGGAAAAACCACCATAGTTAGATGTCCTGTTTAGGAACTTGAGTTATTTAAAAATATTTGTCAAATATAAATTTTAGTTTCTATTTTCTGTCAACTACAGTAGGCAAAAGAATGTTTTCAGAAGACTAGTCTGAGACCCTAGTAAACAAACATTTCTAACATTTGTGCTATTTTGGCTCTGGCTAGATAAAATTAAAGTAGACTATTACTGGTCTATTTCAGGATTAGGGAACAGAAGCAGAGGTTAAATAGAAAAGAAAAATTGCAGGAATGCAATGAAATCAGTTAAGCAGTGTGAAATTGCCACTTCCCAATAGGTTCTCATTGATGGAGAAATGTGTTCAGGCTTACACTTATTAGCAGAAGCTTTTCTTTTTGTCACAAGTTAAATTGTTTCCTATACATAACCAAAACAAAACAAAAAAAAACCCAACTAGGAAGATGGACGTGGTGTTTCCTATCATATAAAACTTTATCCCATAAGCTAATATGTCTGTTCCACTGATATAATTAGTTTAGGTAGACATTCTTCTTAATTTTATCAGATTAAATAAAGCCTGATAAATCTGTCAGAGCTTAATTTTTAATATTCTGAATGTTTATGCCCTTTACCCCAAATTTATGTGTTAAATCCTAACTCCAAATGTGCTGCGATTTGCAGCTGGGGACTTTAGGAGGTGATTAGACCTCGTCCTAGAGGGACGAGCTCTCATAAATGGAATTATTGCCTTTAAAAAGAGATCTCACGGAGCTCCCTTTTTTATTTCTGCCATGTGAGGACATCTATGAACCTGAAGCAGGCCCTCACCAAACACTGATTTTGCCAGGGCTTTGATCTTGGACTTCCCAACCTCTGAAACTGAGAAATAAATTTCAGTAGTTTATAAGTCACCCAGTCTATGTTATTTTTGTTAAAGCAGCTCAAATGAACTAAGACAAAGAGCTATTTTGAAGGGTAATGCCTAGGAAAATATTTTCACCATTATACATAATTAGTTCCCTTGCAGCTTCTGCAAAATAGCAAACTATAGAACAACTTAATCACACTGAAAAAAATTCTTATCTTGCCCCTCAGCTTTCAACCTGGCTCTTCTTGTTCAACTGTTGATATTTTAGTCATTCCCAAGCAAAACCTATTTAGTTAAAAAATCTTTTGCTGTGAAGAAGCTCTTTAGTCTAAATAGATCCCATTTGTCAATTTTGGCTTTGGTTGCCATTGCTTTTGGTGTTTTAGACATAAAGTTGTTGCCCGTGCCTATGTCCTGAATGGTATAGCCTAGGTTTTCCTCTAGAATTTTTATGGTTTTAGGTCTTACGTTTAAGTCTTTAATCCATCATGAGTTAATTTTCGTATAACATGTAAGGAAGGGGTCCAGTTTCAGTTTTCTGCATATGGCTAGCCAGTTTTCCCAACACCATTTATTAAATAGGAAATCCTTTCCCCATTGCTTGTTTTTGTCACGTTTGTCAAAGATCAGATGGTTATAGATGTGTGGTGTTATATCTGAGGCCTCTGTTCTGTTCCTTTGGTCTATGTATCTGTTTTGGTACCAGTACCATGCTGTTTAGGTTACTGTAAACTCGCAGTATAGTTTGAAGTCAGGTAGCATGATGCCTCCAGCTTTGTTCTTTTTGCTTAGGATTGTCTTGGCTATGCGGGCTCTTTTTTGGTTCCATATGAAGTTAAAGTAGTTTTCTCCAATTCTGTGAAAAAAGTCAATGGTAGCTTGATGGGGATAGCATTGAATCTATAAATTATTTTGGGCAGTATGTCCATTTTCACGATATTGATTCTTCCTATCCATGAGCATGGAATGTTTTTCCATTTGTTTGTGCCCTCTCTTATTTCCTCGAGCAGTGGTTTGTAGTTCTCCTTGAAGAGGTCCTTCACATTGCTTGTAAGTTGTACTCCTAGGTATTTTATTCTCTTTGTAGCAATTGTGAATGGGAGTTCACTTGTGATTTGGCTCTCTGTCTGTTCTAGATGCATAGGAATGCTTGTGATTTTTGCACATTGATTTTGTATCCTGAGACTTTGCTGAAGTTGCTTATCAGCTTAAAGGGAGTTTTTGGGCTGAGACGGTGGGGTTTTATGATATACAATCATGTCATCTGCAAACAGAGACAATTTGACTTCCTCTTTTCCTATTTGAATACTCTTTATTTCTTTCTCTTGCCTGATTGCCCCAGCCAGAACTTCCAATACTATGTTGAATAGGAGTGGTAGAGTGATGTGACAGGGCATCCTTGTCTTGTGCTGGTTTTCTAAGGGAATGCTTCCAGTTTTTGCCCATTCAGTATGACATTGACTGTGGGTTTGTCATAAATAGCTCTTATCATTTGAGATACGTTCCATCAATATCTAGTTTATTGAGAGTTTTTAGCATGAAGCGGTGTCTAATTTTCTTGAAGGCCTTTTCTGCATCTATTAAGATAAATGTAGTTGTTTTCATTGGTTCTGTTTATGTGATGGATTACATTTATTGATTTGCCTATGTTGAACCAGCCTTGATCCCAGGGATGAAGCTGATTTGATCATGGTGGATAAGCTTTTTGAGGTGCTACTGGATTTGGTTTGCCAGTATTTTATTTAGGATTTTCGCATCGACGTCCATCAGGAATACTGGCCTGAAAATTTCTTTTTTTGTTGTGTCTCTGCCAGGTTTTGGTATCAGGATGATGCTGGCCTCATAAGATGATTTAGGGAGGATTCCCTCTTTTTCTATTGTTTGGAATAGTTTCAGAAGGAATGGTACCAACTCCTCTTTGTACCTCTGGTAGAATTCAGCTATGAATCTGTCTGGTCCTGGACTTTTCTTGGTAGGTAGGCTATTAACTACTGCCTCAATTTCAGAATTTGTTAGGCAACCTACAGAACGGGAGAAAAATTTTGCAATCTATCCATCTGACAAGAGGCTAATATCCAGAATATACAAAGAACTTAAACAAATTTACAAGAAAAAAACAAACAACCCCCTCAAAAACTGGGCAAAGGATATGAACCGGCACTTCTCAAAAGAACACACTTATGCAGCCAACAAATATATGAAAAAAGCTCATCATCACTTGTCATTAGAGAAATGCCAATCAAAACCACAATGAGATACCATTACATGCCAGTTAGAATGGCGATCATTAAAAAGTCAGGAAACAACAGATGCTGGAGAGGATGTGGAGAAATAGAACACTTTTACACTGTTGGTGGGAGTATAAATTAGTTCAAACATTGTGGAAGACAGTGTGGGGATTCCTCAAGGATATAGAACCAGAAATACCAGTTGACCCAGCAATCCCATTACTAGGTATGTACCCAAGGAATATAAATCATTCTACTATAAAGACACATGCTCACGTATGTTTATTGTGGCAGTATTCGCAATAGCAAAGACTTGGAACCAACCCAAACGTTCATCAATGATAGACTGAATAAAGAAAATGTGGCACATATATACCATGGAATACTGTGCAGCCATAAAAAAGAATGAGTTCATGTCCTTTGCAGGGACATGGATGACTCTGGAAACCATCATTCTCAGCAAACTAACAAAGGAACATAAAACCAAACACCACATGTTCTCACTCATAAGTGGGAGTTGAACACTGAGCACACATGCACACAGTGAGGGGAACATCACACATTGGGGCCTGTTGTGGGGAAGGGAGCTAGGGGAGGGATAGCATTAGGAGAAATACCTAATGTAGGTGATGGATAGATGGATGCAGCAAACCACCATGGCCCGTGTATACCTATGTAACAAAACTACATGTTCTACACTTGTACCCCAGAATTTAAAGTATAATAAAAATAAATAAAATCAAATGATTTTTATATATTCCCGATTATTCTAAATATACAACAGAATTTTAGTCAAAGGTGGTAATACATTATTTATAGTCCTTTATATTGATTTCTTTAAAATTTAAATATTTGTTCTAAAAATGTAAACGTATGCTTTAAAATAATTTCATAAGTATGAAAACATGGGTTGCTCCTCTTCAATTTGAAATTACTCTTATGTTGATTCATATTTGTAAGACTGTAATTTTCATTATTATTTATTTTTTCCTGCTGGTGTTCTGAAAGGTATATGAATGGGAAGCAGCTAATATATCTCTATCAAGAACATGTTTTGGAAGTTAGACAGATTCAGAAAAGTATCATAGAAATTTTTTAAAGACCATTAACTATGCTCATTTCTGCCATTTCAAGTTCTGTGGCCCCAATTCAGTTATTTAAGCTCTTTGTGACTTTGTTTCTCAATTTTAAAATGTGTGTAATAATAGTATCTGGTTCACAGGTGCTATGGACTGAATTGCGTTCCTCCAAAATTGGTATGTTGATTCTCCAAACCCCAATAAGATAGTGTTTGGAGATGGAGCTTTTGGGAGTTACTTAAGGTTAGATGAGGTCATGAGGGTAGTAACCTCATGATGAAATTAGTTCCCTTATAAGAAGGTACATAAGAAAACTCTCTCTTTCCCTCTCCATTTCTCTTTCTCTACCTCTCCTCCCTACCTCATTCACACAACAAGGAAAAGCCATGTGAACACACATCTACCACGCAGGAACAGAGCCCTCCCCAGAATCTGACCATACTGGCACGATGATCTCGGGCTTCCAGACTTCAGAAGTGATCGAAAATAAATTTCTGTTGGTTAAGCACCTTGTCTATGATATTTTGTTACTGAGACAGCCAAATGCCTAGGCAGATAAAAAGGGGTCCCCAGAGAATCTCCTACTCGCCCCTCAAATGTTTACATCAGAGGCTTTTGTGCAAACGAGGGAACCTGCCCAGGACTTGTCTGGGCATGCCCACAGCAAACTGGAGCCAGACTTGTGGGCTGGGGGAAGTGGGTGGAGCCACAGGGAATTTATGCCATTTGCAGGGGAGGAACCTGCTCTCCAGCTCCTATAGTGACCTGGGAATCAATCTGTGAGGTGGGAGGCCTGTCAGCAAGACTCAATTTCGCTCTCCTGAGCTTTTTTTCTTCCTTTCCCCTGCTTTTTGCCCAATAAAATCCTGCTCTATTCACCCTTCAACGTGTCTGCATGCCTAAATCTTCCTAGTCATGTGACAAGATCCTAGTTTTAGCTGAACAAAGGAGCAAAATTCTGCAACATTATGGCAGAATCCATGGCAGCATGGATTGTTCCTACATATATTTATATTGTAACTATATATGTATATATATGTATAAATATAAACTGAGTCAGTTGTCATAAAATGCTTAGAACAGCCTGGCACATATATGTTTTAACAAGTATTATTATTATTATTTTTGAGACAGAATCTCGCTGTTGTTGCCCAGGCTGGAGTGCAGTGGCACCATCTCAGCTCACTGCAACCTCTGCCTCCTGGGTTCAAGCAGGTCTCCTGCCTCAGCCTCCCTAGTAGCTGGGATTACAGGTGCACATCACCACGCTCGGCTAATTTTTCTATTTTTAGGAGAGACGGGGTTTCGCCACGTAGGCCTGGATGGTGTTTTAACAATTATTATTTGGCATCTAGACGAATATTATAAAATCTGAGAACATCAAGATTCATCTGTACTTTTCTCTTACAGTTGCCAGCAACTGGTTTCCCCAAGAGTTATCTAAGGCCATCAAAGTGGCTTTTCCTGTGTGTGACAATGGACACATAATTAGCCACACACCCAGATCTCCCAACTCTCAACACGTCATTTTAGAAAGCAGCATTCAAGGTGCAATTTTAAAGTTAAAATATTAAAATACTAACAAACTGTATTTCTATTGCGCTCATTTCATTCTTCTAATAAAATGTGTCTAGTTATTTTCATTATAACCATCATGCAAGGGCAAAGTCCTTTATAAATAAATATACACAAATATATGCACATATATAAAAATGTATATTCATAATACACACACACACACACACACACACACACACACACACACACACACCCCAGAGCTCAAAAAGGTAAAGTCAAAGAAAGACTTTCGTTACTTGGGTAGTAACACATTTTTGGTCTCTAGAACAAAACTGTTTCCTGAAGCTTACTTCTATGGAAACCTGCAAAGCATCTGCCCCAGGTGCTAGCAGAAATTGCATTGGCAGTTTTTAATTGTGTCTGTGGAGAGTGTTTCGAAGGCAAACATATTTTAAATAGTTCTTAATGCCTGTGGGTGTAGCAAGAAATGAATGTGTTTTTTCAAGCTATTCATTACCTGCCCTTAATGACAGACACATTTCAGGGAATTCCTTTAAATTTTTATTTACTAAAGGGAGCTTTGTTAACTCTTTTATTCTGAGAAATGAATGAACATATAATCAAGCTGTGTATTCCTTTGAGATATCCTTTTCTGTGTGTGTGCCTATGGCTAGCCTCCAGTCCCCTTATCATGACAATCCTAGAACATTCTTCACACTTTAGTTTCCCTCTCCTTCAATCTGAGACACAATATAAAGTAACAGTAAGTGCACAGATGTTTGCACTTAGGTTCACTCATTTAAATTTCAGCTCTTCTAATTTCTAGATAAGTGAATTGAGGAACACTACTGAACTTTTGTATTTTTGCACAATGTTTTTCTTTCAGTGACGTCTCCTCACTAACCACAAAATACAATTCCAATTGTTCTTTCAGTTACTGAGTTCCACCACCACATAACCTGTCCTTTACTATGTAATCTTACCCCTGCACCAAACTAATAATAATCCTCCCTTCTATTGTTTATACCTACCTACACATGCTTTTGTTTATGCAACTTTTCTTACCTGCTGTGTGGGGTTTTTTCTTATTTATAGGTCATCTCTTTATTTTTTTCATGAAAATGCCAATCTGCATAAATCTCAAGTATCCAGTGATTTCACAGAGCCCCTTCTTGTACTATTACTTATAATGCTACTTAGTCTGTTACCACTTTATATAACACTTAACTATTATGCATTGTTGAATTTAAGTTGGTATTATTTCAGCAGAACTGTAATGGTTCTCAAGTGACCACAGAAAATATGAGAAGTTGGATAAGAAATCTCCTTTACATTTCCTTTACATCTCTCAGGACACAGCAGCATTTTCTCTGAAGATGAAATGAAGAATGAGCTCTGCCAAGTATGTTATTCAATTTGTTTAATGTGGCTGACATTACTGCCGTTCCACTGCTACCTAGTTTCTGTGTCTGCCTGGACATACGGTAGGATTGTACTATCCCAACCTACTGACGTGAACTGTGGTGATATGACATGCTTTGACCAATAAAATGTGAACAAAATTTGCATGTGTAACTTTCGGATAGAAACATTAGTTTGTTGGGGCTCTACCTCTTCTCTCTTCCTCTGCCATTGTAACCATGGAAGCATGTGTTGATATAGATATTCAATGCCACACTTGTTTATGGAGGACAAGTGCATGGACAGTTGCCCAGAATCAAAATGGGCTTGTCATGAGAAGGAAATAAACTTTGGGCTTTAAGCCATGGATATTTGTCAGGGGAATTGTTTGTTATTGTAGCATAGCCTAGCCTATCCTGACTGACATATAAATATATCTGAACAGATAAAAATGGCATCTAAATCTACTTTATCCATCAATCCTTGAATGCCTTTCTGGATAATGAATTGATTGCATTTCTTAGTTTATCTTTAGTCACTAATTCATTCAGTAAAGATGTTTACATTTAAGGTTTACTATATGCATGGAACTGGACAAGTTGTTGAGGATAAAAATAATAAACTGAATAGCTGTGGTCCCTAATCTAATTGACATTCTTGTGTAAAAGACCCCCACCCACCAAAAGAAGAGAATGACAGAAAACAAAAATAATTCAACAAACAAAACAGTATGTAAAAGCAACAAGCAAGAGTCTAACAGAGAATACCAGAGAACTTATTTAGATATGGTGGTCAAAAATTCTTGTGATGGGGTGAAATTTAATCTGGGCTCTAGAGGCTGAGCAGCAAGGAGTGCTATAAGAACTGAGGGTGGCCGGGCACAGTAGCTCATGCCTGTAATCCCAGCACTTTGGGAGGCCGAGGTGGGCGGATCATGAGGTCAGGAGATCGAGAGCCATCCTGGCTAACACGGTGAAACTCCGTCTCTACTAAAAATACAAAAAAAATTAGCCAGGCATGGTGGCGGTCACCTGTAGTCCCAGCTACTTGGGAGGCTGAGGCAGGAGAATGGCATGAACCCTGGAGGCAGAGCTTGCAGTGAGCCAAGATTGTGCCACTGCACTCCAGCCTGGGCGACAGAACGAGACTCTGTCTCAGAAAAAAAAAAAAAAAGAACTGAGGGCAAGAGCACAGGAAAGCAGTGTGTGCAGGTGCTCTGAGACAGGAGAGAGCATTGCTGTTCAGAGAAACTCAAAGAATGTGGCTGTAATTAAGTACCATGTTTCCAGATTACTACAATTTTAATTGTATGTTCTCTAAACTCTAGAAGAGTCCCTGAATTTCCTAATGACATTGCTCTGTGGAAAGAACATTTAGTGTCATCCACCATGAAGACTTCTTTCAACTCAGTAACTTCATGGATTATGGGGAAAAATGTTTTTTTTAGAAAACTCAGAAAACAGGAAGAGACATAATATACAAAGGCTGTTTACACATATATTTATAGAAAGCCTAAGCTGCAAGAAAGAAGAGAGCAACATTATTCCACAGAGAAAATAAGTGGTTAAGTTGTGTAGCTTGACATTTATGGCTGTGGAGTTAGTTTTGCCCACATGATGGTGAACTCACTCCAATATAAATAAATCGAAAAGAGTGCAATCTTAAATCACAGCTGCCATTAAAAAAAAACAGAATTTTTTAAAACAAATCTCAAAACAAGTTGTTTTAAATTCTTCTTTAATATTCTCAGCAAATAGTTGATCTCATCAATGATTCAAGAGTAAAAATTGATGAATTTCCTGTTTTATTGAAATGATGATCCTGGTTGAATAACGTAATTAATTAACTTCATACTGACATTGAACATATGAAAATAACACTGTGGCTTTTCTGATAGTAGCCAAGATGGCTTGTAAATTTTTATAGCCTTTAAAACATTTTAGCTTTTTCTTTACTCTATCTGCTTCTAGAATTAAGATTTGTCAGCAGCCAATTTTTCACTTGATGATTTATTTTATACAGAAAAGAAGAACCTTTGAAAAGAATGTAAAAAAATGTTTTGGGTTGCTCTTTGTCAGCTTGATATTGTCTTTCTATTTATTTTTTGTTCGTCACCATTGCAATCTTCTTCCACCAGCCTTCTAGATTACCACAAAATCGCATGAATGATGTTTCTTAAACTCAAAACAAACATATAATAGCAAAGTCACACAAATGAATCATATTTGTATTCATTCTTTCCATATATATGGCATATTTAATCCAGCTATTGGTGGTTATTATGCCCATGTTCAATTAAATTGCAGACTGTATTTTAATTTCATATTTTTGTGGATATGATGGAAAACAAAAATCCAAAAGATTTTGAATGGCTAGACAAATATATAAAATTTAAAAACATTCTGTGTTCTAAGTGTATGAATGTATAATTTTGAAAGATCCCATTTATTGATAAAAGTAGAGAAAAAATCCAAAAGATTTTGAATGGCTAGACAAATATATAAAATTTAAAATCATTCTAAGTGTATGAATGTGTAATTTTGAAAGATTTATTGATAAAAGTAGGGGGAAAAAGGGTGTATTTAGTCCTACCTGATCATTTTCTTTTCAAAACTACTGATGTTTCCCAAATCATGGCTGTCTTTATTCTACTGAATGTCCCAACTATGTCTTGGGTAAATGGCCTAGCAATGGCTAAGGGAACAGCACAAAGCCTTTCAAAAACCAGTTGTTATGAATGAGTGACAAAGGAAAGCAAAGTGTTCAAATCCAATCCCATAAAGGTGCTTACATGCCCTGAATTTTTGAGATGAGGCCGACCAGTATATTTCCTCAACTCAGCTTCCCTGCCCGCTACTTTGTTTGTAGACAAGAGTTTTCAGGGTATCTTGCCTGCGGTTTTACTCACTTGACTTTGGAGTTAAAACTCTGTGAGGCCAAGTGAGCATCTAGATTAGCATGACAGTGGTCTCTATGTCAGTGGTCACCACTTTCATACAGTACAATTGAGAGAATTCATATTATAGTATTACAGTATTATTATTTGACAGTGGAAGATAATTCACAATCACTCTGTGAAACAAAGTTGGAAGATATTTAAATAGAGCAAGTTGTGAGAGGGTGTAGTTGGGTCCTATCTTTTTAAAATCATTAAAAAATCTCTGCCTTTTACTTAGATTGTTAGTCCATTAACCTTTAAAGTAGTTATTCTTTATTGATATGTTTGATTTCCTTCTACCATTTTATGTGTTTTCCATTATCACCTTTCTTTGGTTGTTGCTGTTGTTTCTTTGTTGTTGGATTTCTCTAGCCCGCTTTCTAAGATTATTTACATATATTTTAAATTCCACTTAAACTTTATATTGGCTTTTTAGTCATGACAATTAGGTTATTGCTACAGAGATTATAATGTACTTGTCAACTTTCAATACCTTATGTAAAGTTAATATTATATCAGTTCATGTAAAATATAGAAATGCTGCAATTCTTTTTATTCTATATGAAAGAAACCTCAAAAGACAACGTTATGATTGTGCCTTTAATTCATGTTGTGGTTTTTTTTTAAAAGAAAAGAAAACAGAATTTTGCATTTACCCACATATTTACTACTTCCAATTTTATTCTGAGGATTCAAGTTTCGATCTCAAGTCATTTTCCTGCAGCCTTCAGAAGTTCCTTTGGGGCCTTTAATAGATCTGCTGGCAACACATTATCTTTATATTTTTTTTCATCTGAAATGTCTCTGTTTCACCTTGATTCGTGAAGATTATTTTCATTGGATATAGAATTGTGGGATAACATTGTTTTATTTCAGCATTTTAATCATGTTCACCATCTTCGGGGCCTCATAGCTTCTGATGGAAGCCAGTCATTAGTTAGATCATTGTTCCCCCTTATGCAATGTTTTGGGTTTTTTGTTTGTTGTTTTGGCTGCTCTTAAGGTTTGCTCTTTAATTTTGGCTTTTGGTAATTTTGCTACATTTTGCTTAATCATAAACTACTTTTCTTTTTTTCTTTTCTTTTTTTTTTTTTTTTTTTGAGACAGAGTCTCCTCTTTCGCCCAGGCCGCAGTGCAGTGGCGCTATCTCGGCTCACTGCAAGCTCCGCCTTCCGCGTTCAAGCCATTCTCTTGCCTCAGCCTCCCGAGTAGCTGGGACTACAGGCGCCCGCCACTGCGCCTGGCTAATTTTTTATATTTTTAGTAGAGATGGGGTTTCACCGTGTTAGCCAGGATAGTCTTGATCTCCTGACCTCGTGATCCGCCCACCTTGGCCTCCCAAAGTGCTGGGATTACAGGCGTGAGCCACCGCGTCTGGCCAATCATAAACTTCTTAATGTGTATTTTCCTTGATATTTATCTGGCATCATTTATTTGTACATTTCTTTTTACATCAACTTTGAAAAACGTTAAACTATTTAAATTATTTAAACTATTTAAAATTAATTAAATTATTCAAATATTTGTTCTGCTCCACTCATCTTTCTTTCCTTCTTTTATTTCAGTCACAGCCCTGTTGGAACATTTATTTGCATTAACTAACAGTTCTCAGATTCAGGTTCATGTTTTCAGTCTTTTTTCCTTTGTTCTGCATCTGGGATAATATCTTTTATTATATCTTCTTCAAATGTGCTTACTATTTCCTTTGTCATCTGCATTTGGCTATTAAGTTCTTCCAGTGATTTTTTTAAAAATCTCAGATAACATTTTTATTTATCTCTTGAGATTTTCTGTCTTTTCTTTCACTGTGTGCACATTATATTATACTTCTTTTGGGATTGTTATAAAAGCTGTTTAAAATTCTTGTCTGCTCTTGTCAGTATCTGGTTCAGGGTTGAACCTTGCTGATTTTCTTTTCTCTTGAGAATGTTTATATAATTTTTTTGCTTCATTTTGGTTTATATTCTAGACATTACAAATATTAAGTGGAGGACATTCTGGATAATGTTATTGTTCTAGAAATATAGTTTCTTTTATTTTTGCTGGAAATTATGATGGCTGAACTTGAACTGTTAACACTATTTCATGGGCCACTGCTCTGCTCTATATTCTGATATTTTGTCTTCAGCTGAACTTCATTGCATCTATTTCCAAGCCCATTATTCCCACATTTAGACATTCTGGGTACAGTTGACCCTTGAACAAGATGAGTTTGAACTGCAAGTGTCCACTTATTTGCCATTTCTTCTTTAATAAATATGTTTGATCCTCTCTATCTGTGGTTTCATAGCCCTGAATGCAACCAAAAGTGCACTGAAAATACAGTATCATGAGATGTAAAAGGGATGGATGAAGAGGGCTGATTTTTGTATCTGTGTTTGGGCCAACTGCAGGACTGGAGCATGCATGCATAGATTTTGGTATCTGTGCTGGAGCAGGTACTGGAACTAATCCTCTGCAGATACCAAGGGACAACTGTATTAGATTATTTTTAAAGAAATAAGACAATGCAGGTGTAAGTAAAGACCTCTGAATAACATTCCTCAAATTCTTTTCTAACACCTTCTAAATTTGGTCTGTTTTTATTGTTATTATACACATCAGAATACACATAATCAATATCATATCATATCATATATCATACAATAATCAAATATCTGGGCACCCTGTGGTCCAGTCAAGCTGATACATAAAATTAATCATTACACTAAAAGTGCTAGAATAAATATTCTTTTATAGGTATTAGTTATTAACTAGTGATACACTTAAAACTAGAATTGCCATGTGAAAGCATATGTCCATCTTTAGCTTCACTAAATATTGCCAAATTGCTATCTAAAATAAATCAGCTTGCACTCTCATTAGCAACAGATGAGAGTTTGAGAGTTCTTTCTTTCCTTCTTTTTTCCTTCCTTCCTTCCTTCCTGTTTTGTTTTGTTTTCTTTTGTTTTTTCTTTTGAGACAGGGTCTCACTCTGTTGCCCAAGCTGGAGTGCAGTGGTGCAATCACAGCTCACTACAGCCTCAAACTCCTGGGCTCAAGCAATCCCCTAGCCTCAGCCTCCCAAATATTTGGCACTATACGTGTGAGCCACCACACCCAACTAATTAAAAAAAAAAAATTGGGGGTAGAGAGAGAGTCTATGTTGGCCAGGTTGGTCTTGAACTCCTGGCCTCAAGCAATCTTCCTGTTTCAGCTTCCCAGAATGCTGCGATTACAAGCATGGGCCATTGTGCCCAGCAGCGTTCTTTCTACTCATTCAACAATCTTCTAGTCTTGGCAGTCTTTTTAATTTTCATGGTTATGATGGATGATGAGGGTAGGAGGACTACAGCTTTATTCTGGAGTGCTATGCTGCTGTTTTCCTAATCATTTGATTGGAGGAAGCAGGCTTTTGTGGGCTTTTTGTTGCTGTTGTTCTGTACCTACTGGGCATTTCTAGCTTAAAGGATTTTCCATTACCCAGTCCAGGATACATGAGATTAAAAAAGAAAACCTTAGGAACACACCACCATAAGTTTCATCATTTTCTGACATTATTAGCCAGCCTCTCTTCTCTCTACATTTCTGAGTCATCTTATATTTGATTTATGTATAATATACAGAGTTTTGGTTGTATTCAGTAGTAGGAATAGAGAGACATTCATCTACTCCATCTTGTTTCCTTTTGTATGAAATTCACAATTAGTTTATGTCTTGTGGAAAAACTAAATTGTGATTTTGACTGAAATCACATTGAATTTAATTATCAACTTGAAGTGTTCTACTTTTATATTCCCAAAATGCTTTATAATTTGCTTTATACAGTTTTTGCATATATTTTACTAGATACATTCCTTTATATTTTTACTATTTTTCTAATATAATCTCATTTCTATTATTATTTTTAATTGGTTACTGTGGGTATGTAGGAATATTGATAATTTTTTACCTGAATCACAGAACTTGCAATCTTGTGGACCTTTCTTAATAATGTTAATAGTTTATGTGTAAATTATCTTGGGGTTGATATGTAAGTTATATAATCTGTAAATAAGCACTGTTTTGTCTCTGACTTTTCAATTTCTCTGTTCTTCTTTCTATCTCTTATTGTATTTTCTAGCATACTCAGTACTATATTGATTTTAGGACATCTTTTTCTTATCCCTGATTTAAAAGAACACTAATGTTTTATTATTGTGTAAGGAGAGTCTTTCATTAATCACAGTTTGCCATTCTTCCTCTTAGTCTGAATACACAGCATGTATTTCACAAATGTAGAAACATTAGAACTGTTTTAAGAGAAAAGATGTAATTAACATGATCTAGTCAATGTAAGGGAGATCGCCTACATGCACATGCCTTATAAAATCAGTACATTACCTAACAGAATGGTAAACAAAATAAAATAAAATAATTAATTGTAACTGTGGCCTCTTTTTCTCTTGAGGCAAGTCATCACTTAATTTCTACATTTAATGGCTAGAATTATTACAGATAAACAAGGTGTCAGTAGCTGAGATGATAGTAAATCCATATTAATCATTTTTTGTACCCTTAGTTACATAGATGATATATTTTTATTTTGAATATTCATTTGCACATCTTAAATAGGCAAAAATCATTTTCATGTTGCAAGAGAGGAAAATTTTTCTGTCTATAGTTTTTAATAGGCTGAAGTATAAATATGTTTTAATTTAACTCAACACAGGTGTCAGCTGGGGTCTTCTTGACTTTAAGATCATTCAAGAACATTCTAAACACACAAATTTAATGCTTGAGAATTTCACACTTTTTTGCTAATATCTGGTGCTAAAGCATGGTTCATTTCCTTCATCCCTACTTGATATTATATTCTACTACCATGTCACAATTACCACAAACTTTAGCCATTATGCCTGATTAGACAAGAGGCTTCATTACATCAAGAATTTTATAAATTAGTTTGTAGGCTCAGATCACTACAAATTCCACACTGAAGTCACCTGACTTGCAGACCAAACATTATTTCTCATTATTTTTTTCTTTCCCTCTGGTGCAGAGTTGAATTATCTACACCAAGTCCCTACATATCCTGCCTTATATTTTGAAATCATCTGTAAAAATAACAAAATTGTTTCTATTTTCTCATATAAAATATATCACTTTTTAACCAACAAATGAATATTTTTTCCTGAAATAAAAGATGATGTTTAGAAACTTCTTACATATACATCTTTCATCATTTCTCTAAAACACATTCAGTGTTGTGATAATCTCATAGTCACATTTTTACAGTTGTTCAGTACTACTAGAATAAAAACTTTAAAAAATTCTATAAAACTTTATTATATCTCAGAGAATGACTCATACTATAATCATACTATAAATCATATTTTCAGAGCATTAACTTAGAGAAGAGCTAGACAGGAAATTGATAATGTATGCAGCTTGATGCCTTTTCATATATTGATTTACATGTCATTTGTCTGCAATTATTGTTTAAATACAATTCACTCTTTGCTAATAGGAGACAATTATCACCATTACACATAGTTCAGATTTTCACAAAATGGTTTAAACCAAAGCCCAAATTTACTACTATTTTCTCTTGGAATGCTAAAGAGCATTTTAGCACAAATGGAACACAACATTTACTTGAGCATTGTAGTCATTTGTGTTGAGCTCTGCATTTCATTTGAGATCTTCTTCCTAATATTTATCAACATAAGATTGGGTATGCCTTGCCTATGACAAGAAGGGAATGCTGATGGCCTAAAGACCATCACTTAGGTAGTTTCTGGCCATTACACTGTTTGTACATGGGATCACTATAACAATCATAATATAAGTGTGATTTCCTACATTGCAAATCAAACATTTCACCTGCTTAGTTTAAAATAGATTAAAGAAGAATCCTGAAGCAAACCAAAGATCCTTTCCTCCATGATTATTGCTCTAAATGAGCTCATGTGGGACGGAGATTCTCCTTCATTCTGCTTCATTCTCTATCTCCAAACTGGAGGCAATAATCAGATGCAATTATTAGAAGCCCTGACTTCATCATTCCTTCCCAAGGGTGAAATGGCCTAGAGTCAGTGCTTTCAATTATGCTGGGTGGCCCAGGAATGGACAAGCTGATTCATAGATGGCTGTGCTTGGTTCTGCCCCAAAGGCCCCAGAGGAAATGCCTGGAGGAGAAGCTGAATCTCCCTATCAGTTGGTTCTCTCCTCTGTCACCAGCCACAGGATTAAATAAAAAGTTGAGTCTAGAAGACAGACTTTTTTCTCTCTTTTACATTTATGATCCATTTTAAATCACTCTGACGTTAATATGAAAATTCCATAGGCACACTTGCATGTCCTCATTAAAGGATAAAAATTAAAGATGAAGTGACAGTTATCACTAAACCAACTACAGAGGAAATGCCCATAGAACTAACATACTCAGTCCAGATTTCAAGCAGTTTGGGCCGACAAATTAAAAATGCAAGTTCCTTTTAGGAAACCCATATCAAAAGAATGCTTAATCACATACAATATATCCCATTCTGTTTTGATCAACTGAAATCATTCTTCCTATTTTGGGCTTCTCAAACCATTTGCTGTAGAATTCTTCTCTTTGACAATCTTGTGAGAGAGTCAATACATAAAAGAGTACACTGAAACAAATTTCAGTTCCTCTGCCTGTCACTGAGTGAAAAGTAGACCCCTATCCATCCCCTGCCCCTGTGCCAATTCCTCTCATTGCACACACACACACGTGCCCATGCACACACACACATACATTTCTCCAAGATGGAAGCTGACTTTTAAAACAACTCTCTATAATTTTGGACATAGTGAAAAATCTAGAACTATATAAAACCCACAGCTAAAGGCCTGTCTCTTTTCTTTATTTTCAAAGACATCGATTCTTTCCACATAAAGAAAGGAGGCAGAAAATAAAAAATACTTTCAGTCCACAGTATGATAGGTCTCAAATCTTTTTTGAAACCAACCATAAACCATAAACAATACTGGCAAAAAGCAAGATACAAATGTCTATTTTCAAGTGAATATTTGCATGATTTCTTAAGACACTCCATGCTTAGATTTCTGGTTTTGATACAAGAAAAAGGCTGCCCGAAAGCCTATTTTCTGCAGAGAAAGTTTTAATGGTAGAGAACAGAAAGAGGGTGTTTAGAAAGAGAAATAAGAAATTTATAATGCCTGACTTGTAAAGAAAAAGAAAAGGTAATGAGAGTCCTAGATTCTACTGTAGAGATGTGATTTACTGTCTATAGCTAGAATTTTAAGAGAAAATAGTGAAGGAAAGATTTTCTCCCATATTTTATCACTGCTACAGCCCTCCCTTAAATTTTTTCTTGGTGAAGGTATCCATCCACCACAGCACGGGGTGCAGCAGATGTGTAACATTTAATGTGTTTAATAAAATGACACAGTGTTCTGCTTTAACTGTGCATTTGCCATCCTTGTAAAGTAATGAAAAGCTACCTTTCCTGAGAAAGAATGACACCTGCAAAATTGATCTAGGCAGACTAAAAAAAAAAGAAAGGAAGTTAGAAAGTAATCACAAATCTAGAAAATGTCCAAAGAGGGTAAGGTGCAGGAAGCAGTGTGTAATTTTTTTGCTTTGGGATAAAGTACAGAACCTAGATTTTCAATTTTAAAGAAAACCAACACACTAAAAAGTGTCATTTTTCTTTTTTTGCTTTTTCAAAAATGAAGAAATTTCAAAATTATTAACAAGTAGCATTTAAAATAAAGATTTATCAATAATAGTTGAAAACACCTGCTAAAGGTAAGAGAATAGGAAAAATGTAAATCATTGTAAAGGCCACTCTGAAATCTAGTTCAAACATGAGCTCAGCCAAGGCCAAGCACAGGATGCTGCTGAGAGAACTGAGAAGCTAAATATTTTATGCATATGAAGTAGTTTAAGAACTTTCCAAGACAATGTGACTATTACAGCACCAATGATAACAGGAGCTCTGATAAAAAAAAAAAAAATCAAAGGAATAACAGATATCTGAGAAGGCTTCATGGAGAAGGACTACCCTAAACTAACTAACCTGATGATAATATAAATGGAATTTCAATCATCGAGAGAGGGAAGAATACATTCTAGATGGGGGAATAGCCCAATAGGAAGTAATTAATATTACATATTTCAGGCCCAAATTTTGCCAGAATAGATAATAATAGACAAGGCTTCCTTTCACTTGTGAGGAGAGATTAAATTGAGTAAGTATAAATAATTACATAATATTAAATATTAGAGAGAGTAGTTAAAACATTTTATGTGTTGTATTAATCTGTTCTCACACTGATATAAAGGACTACCTGCGACTGATTACTTTACGAAGTTTTAATTATGAGGTTTAATTGACTCATAGCTCTGCAGGGTTAACGGGATGCATAACTCGGGGGGCCTCAGGAAACTTACAATCATGGTGGAAGGTGAAGGGGAAGCAAGCACCTTCTTCACATGCTGGCAGGAAAGAGACTGAAGGGGGAAGTAGTGCCACACACTTTTAAACCATCCAGATCTCATGAGAACTCACTCACTATCACAAGAACAGCAAGAGGGAAATCCACCCCCATGATCCAGTCACCTCCCAGCAGGCCCCTCATGTAATTTGACATGAGCTTTGGGTGGGGACACAAATCCAAACTATATCATTCCCTGCTGGCCCCTCCTAAATCTCATGTCCTTCTCACATTGCAAAATACAATTATTCTTTTCAACAGTCCCCTAGTCTTCACTCATTACAACATTAACTCAAAAGCCCACAGTTCAAAGTCTCATCTGAGACAAGGTAAGTTCCTTTTGCCTATGAGCCTGTAAAATAAAAAACAAGTTAGGTACTTCCAAGGTACAATGGGGGTACAGGCATTGGGTAAATGCTACAATTCCAAATGAGAGAAATAGGCCAAAACCCAAGGGTTACAGGCCCCATGCAACTCAACTCAGAAACCCAGTAGGTCAGTCATTAACTCTTAAAGCTCCAAATAAATCTCCTGTGACTCCATGTCTCATATGCAGGGCATGTTGATGCAAGGGATGGGCTTCCACAGCTTTGGGCAGCTCTGCCTCTGTGGCTTGGCAGGGTATAACCCCTGTGGCTGCTTTCACAAGCTGGTGTTGTGTGCCTGTGGCTTTTCCAGATGCATAGCGCAAGCTTTAGGTGGCTCTACCATTCTGGGGTCTGGAGGACAGTGCAGTGACCCTCTTCTCACATCTCCACTATGCAGTGTCCCAGTGGGGGTTGTGTGTGGGGGCTTCAACCCCACATTTCCCCTCTGCCCTCCCTTAGTAGAGGTTCTCCATGAGGGCTCCACCCCTGCAGCAGACTTTCACCTGGACATCCAGCCATTTTCATACATTCTCTGAAATCCAAGTGCAGGTTCCCAAGCCTCAATTCTTGCTTTCTGTGCACCCGCAGGCCCAACACCAAGTGGAAGCCACAAAGGCGTGGGGCTTGCACCCTCTGAAGCCACAGGTCAAGCTATATCTTGGACTGTTTTAGCCAC
Organism: Homo sapiens; assembly: GCF_000001405.40. Classification (NCBI taxonomy): domain Eukaryota; kingdom Metazoa; phylum Chordata; class Mammalia; order Primates; family Hominidae; genus Homo; species Homo sapiens. The sequence goes on along the minus strand of NC_000005.10, from coordinate 164,105,334 downwards.
AGCTGGAGCTGGAGTGGCTGGGACTCAGGGTGCCATGTCCTGAGGCTACGCAGAGCATCTCAGTCCTGGTCTTGGCCCATAAAATCATCTCGCCCTCCTAGGCCTCTGGACATGTGATGGGAGGGTCTGCCTTGAAGGTTTCTGAAATGCCCTAGAGACATTTTCCCTATTGTCTTGGCTATTAACATTTGGCTCCTCTTTACTTATGTAAATTTCTGCAGCAGGCTTAAATTTCTCCCTAGCCAATAGGTTTTTCTTTTCTACTACATGGCCAGTCTGCAAATTTTCTAAACTTTTATGCTCCACTTCTTTTTTAAATAGAAGTTCCAGTTGCAGATAATCTCTTAATTCATGCATATGAGTAAATACTTTTAGAAACAGCCAGGTCACATTTTGAATTCTTTGCTGTTTAGAAATTTCTTCCTCCAGTTACCCTAAATCATCTCTCTCAAGTTCAAAGTTCCACAGATCTCTAGAGCAAGGGCAAAATGCCACCAGTCTTTTTGCTAAAGCATAGCAAGAGTTACCCTTAATCCAGTTTGCAATAAGTGCCTCATCTCCATCTAAGACTACCTCAGCCTGGACTTCATTGTCCATATCACTATCAGCATTTTGGTTAAAACCATTCAACAAATCTCTAGGAAGTTCCAGACTTTCCCACATATTCCTGTCTTCTCCTGAGCCCTTCAAACTGTTTCAATCTCTGCCTATTACTCAGTTCCAGAGTTGAGTCGCTTCCACATTTTCAGGTATCTTTATAGCAGTACCCCACTCCTGGTACAAATTTTCTTTATTAGTTCTTTCTTACACTGCTATAAAGAACTACCTGAGACTGGGTAATTTATAAAGAAAAGAGGTTTAATTGACTCATCATTCAATGGGCTTAATAGGGAGCATGACTGGGAGGCCTCAGGAAATTTATAATCATGGTGGAAGGCAAAGGGGAAGCAAGCACCTTCTTCTAATGGTGGCAGGAGAGAGAGCGAAGGGGGGAAGTGCCACACACTTTTAAACAACCAGATCTCATGAGAACTTACTATCATAAGAACAGCAAAGGGGATGTTTGTTCCCATGTTTCAGTCATCTCCCACCAGGCCCTACCTTCAACATGTGGAGATTACAATTCAACATGAAATTTGGGTGGGGAGACAGAGCCAAACCACATCATACGTGATAACAAAAATGACAAAACACCTCCAAACAGATTGTATTAAAAGCTGAACCAGTATTATCTCATGTAAACCAAATGTCATTTCTGGAAAGACATGTAGTAATATTATCTCCATATTACATATTAGAAAATTGAAGTAGTTTAGTAATATGATTGAGATCAGAAGAGATAATATTTAGATATATCAGGATTCATGATTCCAAAGCCCATGCTGTTAATGAATATATTTCATTGCCTCATTATAATTTTATGTATTTTACATAATGCATATCCTTGGTCTCCAAAAATATTTAAGTAAAGAGAATTAAAACCTGTTTTGTTGATTATAATTTATATGAAAAAAGAAGGATTTTCTCCAATGTTGAATGGAGGTGGAAGGAGTGCTAAAAGACATTGGTAGAATAATTAAAGAATCAGCTGGAGCTATATGCAAGGAGCAGCTCAGGAGTGTGCAGGGTTTTATAAGCTAGGGGATCTTCTCCAAATGGTACAGGGGAAGCCATTGGAACATCATCTGCAAGTGATGTAATCAGATGTGTTTTTTAAAAACATGCTCTGGTTGTAGTGAAGAGAATGGTTCAGGGACAATGTCGGCAGGGACACAATTATTGAAGGATTTCAAGTGCAAAGTAATATTGTCTTGAATTAGGAGACAGAATAACAGGACTTGATGACTGAGTCAAGATGATATCTACATGTGTGGCTTCAACAATAGAAAAACAGTAATTCTACATACAGAGTCAGGAATCACAAAAGCATAGGGAGAAATGATGAGCTCAGTTTGGGATTTGTTTGAAATGCTTTTATGGTATTCAGTTGGAAATGTCTAATGGTTGGAGATATTGATCTGATTCTAAGAAATGAGATCCCACCTGGATCAAAATTTGTGATTAGTTAAAGCCATAGGAATAAAAAAGATCACCCAGGATGAATGTGCAGAGTAAGAAAGGAAGCTGCATTAAGACAGAATCCTGAAAAACACCAACCTTTCTACAATAAAGAAGAAATTGTAGAAAAGGAAGGGAATGACTCTAGAGAAAAGGCAAGAGTTTATGGAGTAGTTAAAACTATAGAAACAGAGGTTTCTTTTTTTTTTTTTCAAGAAAAAACTGATTACTAATGTTAAATGCTGATGAGAGATTCAGTCAAATGAAGGAGACAGTGATCATTGAATTAGCAGCTGAATATGTTACTAGTTAGGCATCTTAAAAGGATTAGAGGCCAAATTATAATGGATTTAAAGGTTAGTTAAAAACAACAACAACAGGTAGAGCTAGTGTATATAAATTAGTGATTTCTAAAAACCAGAGGTGGTACCTCATCAGAGGAAAACCCCAGAAAACTAAAAACATTATAGTTTTAGTGATGCTAAATTATGTTACAAAATTATTATAGAAGGATAACATTTTCTACATTTTTATGCTGAAATACATTTCTTTTATAAAATAATACTAATAGAAGATAGGAGTAGTTGTTTTCATATATTATTTCTAGTTAAATCTGTATACCTGTTAGGCCATTCCGAAATCTGAAACCTACTGTTGGTGCTAATTAAACTGCTTGATTCTAAAGGGATAGGTGTCCAAAAGAATGTTGCAGTAGCCCCTGATGGATAGAGAGAAGGTAGAATAAAGGGGAATGTAACTCATCTGGCAAAGGCATTTGCTTCACTCTAAGTTTAGAGAGCAGTTCTGAACGGTCAGCAGAGAAGTATTTGCATTTCATCTTTGGCAGTTTCATTATGTTGTCAATTATTATAGTGCGATGTTCTAATAGGAGTTTCATCATGCATTCAAATTGGAGAGAAGAATCATTTAGCCGCCACAACAAATTGAGCTCAGCAGGCTTCATTTCAGGAATTTCTGTGGTGTCAAGTGGTCAGTCCTTCCATTTTAATTTCTAGATAGATGAGATGCAAATTGCATGATCTTTTCTCCTCTGATAGTCAAAGCAAATGGCTCCAATTACATTCTAACATACCCTTAACTGGGAGGTAAATAACATTATCAGCTTGGGATGTGATAGGATGAATCACAAAGAAAAGATTAATTATCTTGTAAAGGTATTGTATTATCTTAATTGTTCACATCACTCAAGCTTTTCTAATTAGAAAAGTAAATACCAGCCAAGGCAGGTTTTGCCCTTGCACAATGAAAGAAAGAAAAGCTAAACATTTGCATGAATTATAACTTTTCAAATATTTAAACTTAATAAGGCCAATCATCAGTCTATACCTGTTTTCTGTCACCAGACTTCTCAAAGATCAATTATAGTTCTTTTATGAAAAGCAAATAATACAATCTGCTATTAAATAATACAAATACTTCAATATATTGATGCTACAAGCAAGCCTACCGATCCACATCCCTATTACCCAGTATTGTTCATTGATTTCAAAATCTAAAATCCTTTTCTCTATCAAATCCATTCTATGTGTCCTTTTAGCCCTGTAGTTTATTTGAAAACCCAGTAGAGATTACACATAATCCCCCAGTTTTCTCTTCCAAACAGCTGCTGTCATTTCTTGTACAGAACAGTTCCCATTCCATCTTTCTGATTAATGCTTTTTCTCTAGTTAAATTTTTAGTTCTACTAAACAATTAGAATCAGATCCTTCCTCCCAGACTTCTATCTTACCTGTGAGACATTCATCAGACTCCTGTATTAAGTTGTATTCCACCATAAGGCATGTCTTCGACTGACCCTAGGAACACATAAAATATCCTTTCTACTTTGAATATTTTTCTTGATAAAGTACCCAGCACATATTAGGTACTCAGAAGTGTTGCTTCCATTAGACTCATTTCCTCTGTCAGTTTCTGGCCTTTGTTTTCAAGCAGCGTGATCTAACATTTGAAGAGCAAAAGGATTACATCCATAAGGATCTACAATTGAATCAAATCAGTAAGACTAGTTCTGTAACCTTAGATAGGGTGATAGGGCACTTTACCTCTCTGGTCTCTTTTCTTATCTGAAAAAAATGAGATTAAAAATAATTCCAACCTGTTAAGTTGCTTCTAGGGGGCTAATGATACCTTGCAGTTATACACTTAGCTCAGTGCCAGGCACATATTAAATACTCAATAATTTGGGGCTGTATAATATTGTATGACTATAATCTATAACCCCTCTATTGAAACTCAGTTTGAAAGCTGTTTCTGAGGTTGGAATGAGAAGTGAAAAATTCTTATCATTTAAAAAGGTTATCTGAACCCACCCACATACAATATGCTTCTCTGGGATCTAATTCTGATGTGTCTGTCTCATTCTTACATCTTCAAAGTAGGATATTTTCAGAGGTCTGATGGGTTGTAACACACTGTTTCCATAGTTGGTTTACCAACTCACTGATCTACAGCATTTCACTTAAGGCTCTTCTTTTTTGACAGGATGGCTTGAGGGAGATGATGATCTTAAATGCCAAGAGGATTTTCCACACAGGCACAGGGGAAGAATGCTGTGAGCAGATTTTGAGGGTGTGCATCTCCGGTTATGTGTTCAGTTAATGGACAGTTGGGCTTGAGGACAGTGTACAGTAGAGGGGAAGAAGGGTTAATTTATCTGGAGCTCGATTTGTGAAGCCACTACTTCAGGCTCATTTACATTTACATTAGCAGGACATCGTTAGCAGCGAAGGTATTGGATGAGATCACAGCTGACACGTAAGATTGTATGGATATGATCTCTTTGTAGTCTCCAGCCAGTTGCCTGGAACTGAAGCAAAAAATCGTGCAGCCCCATTTGACTAGCCAGGTCTGTTCCTCTGGTGTGGTCAAGAATTTCTCCCTTCCATTTCTGTCTCAGTTTTCAATCACTTTTTCTTAATGCTAAAACTTCAATGTAGCAAAAGCCATCTAGAAACCTACCTCAATCTTCTCTCTTATCCCTTCCTTATATATGATAAAAAATGTAATTGACTCCTTTAGAAACTAGGCACAGTCTCTCAAGAACTTTCTTTATTTCTAGTCATTCCTGGTTCACCTTAAAATAAGGTCTGACATATATGAAGTTGATGCTACTAATCTAGCCATTATGACACTGAATAAATCATCTAACTTCTTTAAACTTTATTTCATATGTCAGTAAAATGGAAATATGAATAATTTATATGTGGCAAGATTGATCTGAGGACTGAACAAAATCATCCATGTGCAAACTTTGGTATCAGTTAACCAATGTGCCTCATATGGATGGGCCCAGACCTTTGATGTCATGCCAGAGAGAATGATTCAAGAGACTTATGTTGACTGAAACATTATCTCAACACACACACACACACACACACACACACACACACACACACACACAGAGCAAAACCATCAAGCTCTCCCCAATTTGAGTTTCTGTTTCCCAGCATTTCCTCCTAAGCCCCAATCAAAGAGTAGACTGGGTGAGGCAATGTGGAAAAACAGTTGCGTGACTTACTATGGCGTACTGACTTCAACCAGGACAGGGGGAGAAACAGCACAATACCAGGGATATTCCTCTACTGTTTAGGCCCAAGTTAATACTTCTGTAACTAAGAAAGATTTTTCTCTTCATGACCATTTTTTAAACCTGTCTTCCAAACTAAAGGTAGAGAAACACGTATCTACATTCCAAATTACTATTTACTTCATCTGTCTTTGTTAACTTCATTGTGGTGGAGATGAGGTGGTTTCCTATTCTCAGGCCAGTCAAAAATGGAGCATGCTTAGTCTGGCCATGAGACGAGTGCCTAGTTCTTCGTAATCCAATTCTTACTGTGTTCTTGGCTATACTTGTTCTTATAATTGAGAAGTTGAGAGAATGCACACCATTCCAAAGTATTATCTCTATTGTGTCATATTTCCTTCCTGAGGACTGGAAGGCTAACATAATTTCTTTCAAAATTATTACATTAACTTCTGCAGGGTCTACCAGCTAATCTTTATGCCTCTCTCCTCCTCCTGTACAATAACGACTCATCGTCGCATTGGTACTTTTCACTTAACTCATCATCACGCTGGCACTTCTCACTCAACCTTTAGCACGATGCCTGACACTCTATGCTTTCAACAACGGATAGATAGTATTACTGTTACCAACCTGTTTCAGACATTATCCAAGCTGTTGCTAACATCAAAAATGAATAATGCACAGTTCTTTTTCACAGGGAGCTCAGCTTCTTTTAAAGTTTGTGATTAAATCATGTTTCCATTATTGTCAGTGACTTTTACCTAAAAACCTCTATCTTTTCTTTCCCAATCTCCCTTGGATGCAATGACAAGCATATCACAATTCCTGGCTAATGCTGTTGGATGATGTTTGTAACCAGGGAACTGAGCTCCAGTGGTGAAACTTTCTAATAAGTTCACTCAATACTCCTCATCTTAGCCCACAGGAGGTTAAATATTGTTTGCAAGACAAGGAAATAGAACGTAATATAAACTTTCAGTTTAGAGAATCTATAGAGCTAAGAGGGGCAGATGCCTAAATGGTCAGTCATATTCTTGCCAACCTTTGCATCACATTTCCAAATGAAGAGAGCTGTAGCTTGAAATAAATATTCAAGTATAGCATGGCCAAGTCTCTTGTATATGAAATATTCTTCAAGACTTGAAAATGAGCATTTTCCCAATAAGGCTAAGGACCTTTAATCTAGAAAAGTAAATGTGAGACATTTTACTCATTTTATCAGACTGAAATCTCTTTGAGAGAGAGGATCAGGTCTGTCATGCACATTCCTTCAACCCATCATCTTACACAATGTCTAACATAGAATCCAGGCTCAATAAATACTTATTAAAATAATAAAATCATTTTGTGACCAATTTATCACTTTGGAAAAAGCTGGGTAGCAAGAAAATTTAAAAGCAGTAGGAAATTGATTTGCAAGATTAGGAAAAGGCTATTCTGAAAACAATTTAAAAAAAAAAACAAGGTTAAATGCAAAATAAGAATAAATCTATACTGTCACTCCTCCATAAATCCATATTTGTTGTTGTCTTCAACTGATGGTAATTATTTGCCAAGTTTACAGGTATCAACTAATGAAGAGAAAGAACTGAAATGCTGACCTGAGAAGATTTCAAAAAGTTGGGGGAGTTACTCTGCCTTAGTTCTTTACGTTACAGAAACCTTGTTCAAACCCATCCACCAACCCTTCATTCAAACGTCACTTTCCTGATTACTTTTGTTATGTGCCATTGAGTCATAGAGATTTCACAGCTGACTAATGCAGTGGCAAGGTGATAAATCATAACCACCAAATAACGTCAGAGATATTACAAATGATAGACGGCATTTGAGAGTACTGCCTGTGGGAAACCAGGTATTTATTTTCACTTTGTACCAACTTCTAACTAGTCTACAGTTGACAGTGGGAGTTGTCAGAAAGGTAAGAAGTTGTTGCTAGCACAGTGTTATTTAGGCACATAGAGATGACTTGTTACAAGTAAAGAAATTAGTTTCTTTGTGGTCCTACCAAATTAAAATTAAAGTCAGGAAATATGAATTTGAAGAGAAAGCAAAAACAATAAGTTCAGGCATTTGTTGAGGGAAATAATTGTTGCCTTTTTTATGGGGATACTTCATATATTTTCCTTACTAAAATGAAAAAAATATGAAAATAAAGGCTTCTGTTTTCACGAATAAATCTCTACTTTATACCTGAATCATCACTTTGGACTCAGTTTATCTTAGTATTATATCATTGCAGCCTGAGGATTGTAATAAATTCTGAAACAGCATTCAAATTACCAGCAAATATTCAACAAAAACACCAAATAGGTTTAAATGCCTCATTAAGACTATACACTAGTTCTATCTCCAATAAGCATTTGCTGTACATATTTCACATAGTAACTTACAATAATGATGCTTTCCTCATCTGAGGCTTCTAAAATTGTATTTAATCAACACTGATAAAATTACTGTGCTATTTAAGGGAAAAAATGGCTTCTCCTTTCCAGAAGAATTAGTCATGCTTGTATAATATTCCAAAACCTGATGGATTCACTTATAACTTGATATTATAAATACATTTAAGCCCACACAGCATCTAGGAGGCAAGGCAATTTCAAGAAGAACATACAAGTAGATTCTCTGTGTCTTTATAATCTTCATGTAATTATAGAGAGAGAACCGGGCTTGTGTATCTTTCAAAACAATGAAGATTTTAGCTGTACACTGATTTTTTTGTTTGCTTTATTAGGCCTTCCCAAAATGTGTGATTTTTCTAACATAAACTTTTAAAAGTTTAAAATATCTGTGATGTAACACACTTTTTTTTTTTTTCTGAGACAGAGTCTCGCTCTTTTGCCTATGCTGGAGTGAAGTGGTATGATCTTGGCTCACTACAACCTCTGCTCCCGGCTGGGTTCAAGGGATTCTCCTGCCTCAGCCTCCTGAGTAGCTAGGATTACAGGCATCTGCTACCACACCTGGCTAATTTTTATATTTTTAGTAGAGATGAGGTTTCACCATGTTGGCCAGGCTGCTCTTGAACTCCTGACCTCAGGGGATCCACCCGCCTCAGCCTTCCAAAGTGCTAGGATTACAGGTGTGAGCCACCGTGCCTGGTCTAGACATCTTTTATTCAGAAATTACATACATTGTCTCTAAAAACAATGGGCAGAAAAGTCAAACTAAGGAGCTTGAGACAAAAACAAAAGTATCATTTCATCACCTGCCAAACTCACAACCCTTCAGAAAGGGAGGAAGAAGAAGAAGAGATGAGCTATTTGCCAACTAAGAATATCTCATTAAAGCCACTTGAAGCTTTTACAGTAATATTACATTATCTCTGGTGGACCCTTAGAGCAACACAAGCACATACAAATATATTCCCATTCTCTTAAGAACTGTGCCAATAAAGAAAAGCTGAGAAGGCATCTTCCTCAAAATTCTGAAGGGAAACTAGCCTTTAAGTAGGCACTTTTGGTGCACTATGCATTAAAGTGTTTTAATAGCATCAATTTATCATTTTAACAGCAAGCATTTACTGAAAGGTGTATGACCAGGTGCAAAGAAGAAAGCACATAATGTATCCTCAGGCTTAAATTTTCAAAAGACAATGTGAAGTTATGTCAGAAATGAGAACTGCTGTTCTTTTCCCTGTATTTGCCTAAAGCATGTGATTTTCAAGACTCAGCTCTACAGGAGACAAAACTTTTGATAAGAACACTATCAATTGTCTTTCATTTGAGGAGATGATTGAAACGAGGCCTCATCACATCATGTTAGCCTTCTGGTTAACAGGGTTGGAAACCTTTTCATCACGAGCCATGACAATGTAGTAAATGTAGTAATGATAATAACAGACATTGTGAAGAAAATCAGAATTTACTTACCACTTTCACATAAATTGTCTGAAGCTGTTCTTCTAAAAATCCTATAGATATAGACCTTATCCCTATTTCACACGTGCAACATGAAAAATGATGACTTATTGCCTAGTTGGCACATGGAACATATTCAAAATCATCCTTGCCCGGCAACCAAAATAATTTAAAACCACATACATCTGTGGTCCCTTAAGAAATAGTAGAGATAATCCCATTGATAAATTTCAGCAAAACTTCAAAACCTGCTTTCCTCCACTACCCTGTTGTATTAGGAGTATCCTATGCATTGGAGATTCATTACCGTAAGATAACATTACTGCTCCTGAATACATAAATAATCTTTCTCTAATTCTTTTGTCCTCTCTCTCACACACACACATACGGCCTATCAAAGTATATTATTTTCATGATTTCAGTATTTTTTTTGCTTTCAGCCAATGAAATCTAGCCTTTCATTGTATATCTTAGTGAATAGTTTTGACCCATGTGTCAATACTTAACAGGTACCTCATAGGGTTGGCTCCTCTGAACGTGGAAAAGGCAGAATATCACATTGTGTTTTGAAACACGAGTTTGCAGCAGCTCACAGTTTTCAGGAAAATTGTAAATGAACAAAATGGTAAATATCAGCAGACAGGAATGGATGAAGTAAAAATACAAGGAAAGATCTCATTAAGCATTAGTTGAGTCTAGGAGAGTAGACACCAATATTTAATTTGGTGATTATTGTAAGAAAATGAAACTAGAAACCATATATGACTTCAGAGTTATTGCCAATGAAGAATCCAAAAATGCATTTCCATATGTCATGTGGTCATAAAACAATTCCTAGGAGACCTTTATGGCTTACAATTTGCAGATCCCAAAGCTAATGTATCATGTAAGGCTGAACAGCTACTCTAGATTATTGAGAACAGGAGTTGCAAACTTTGTTTTTCAAGGGCAGATAGCAAATATTTTACACTTGTGAGACAGATCTCTGTCGCACTTATTCAACTTTGCCATTGTAGCCAGAAATCAACACAGGTCATACTTACATGAATGCATATGACTTTGTTTCAATAAAACATTATTTACAAAAAGGAAGTACTGCCAATCCATGCCATAGATTATAAATGTTGTGGTTTTGGTGTGTTAATTTTTTATTTGCACTATGCTCACTGCTCAGATTCTGTACAAGAAAGCAGTGTCTGAACTGCTCCCATTTATATTTACTTCTGGAATCAGGAGAGGACAGAAAGATCTCAAATATGATTGTGTAGTAGCTTATTTTTTGTCACTGACGTTCACGCTTGAGGGACCTGAGGCTAGTTTGATAAGGGCACTCCTAGATTCTAAGCATGCTTCTCTGTCTTTGACTTTGACTTTAGCTCCACAGCTGTGGTGAAACTCACATTACGGCTGCAGGAAGGAAACTGTTCCCAGGTGAGAAGTAAATTATCCAGCTTGGCACAAAAATGTTGAAAAGGCAAATTCCACCTGCTTTTCTCTAGGCAAGATATTTTTGTTCAAATATCTTCCTGCCACCTACTCAAGCAGTTTCCCCCATGTCCAATTTGTATCCTGTTTCTGGAAATAATTTCCGTTTTGCATTCTTCATACATATAGGCATGTTTATGTGTGGAAATGCAAGAGGAACCTTAGGGCCACAGCACACACTTTCTAATTCACTACAGAGAGAGTTTCAGAAAACCTCAAATGCAGATGCCTTGATTTATCAATTCTTCCATTAATTCATGGATTCATTTATTTCTTCTTTTATTCGACAAATGAGTCCCAAGTGCCTGTGTTGTGACAGGCACTATTTTAAGCTCTGGAATTACAGCAGTGACAGACGAGGTCAATGTTCTCGTTATCATACAAGAAGACAGATAAAAGAACATGTAAATAATAAATAGACACATGCTTTCGTATTCATTTCACACTTAGCCTGTGTCCAGCATTTATGAAAACACTTTTCTAAGATCCTTCTATAAGAGAAAAAATGAGGAAGAGGGCATCATGGCCTTCACCCTAAAGAAACATAGAATATTATGGTGGTGGCAAGCATTCAAACCATTTACTATAATATAAAACATAATTTTTAAGTTCTATAATAAAGATACAAGAAAAGTGTTGGCAGAAGACTAAGGAAAGAGCAGACAGTGACAAATGACAGGGGAAAGCATTTATGGAGAATTCTTGAAGAAACTATTGTTGATGATATTGATGATGAGTCTGACGATGATAGCAACTAATATTCCAGGCAGCACTCACTTCATTCCATACACGGTTATAGGTACATTATTATAACTTTACGCATGCGAATTCCTTTCATCTTTGTAACCCTGGAAGATAAGTGTTTTCTTGTTCCCATTGTACCCTCACTGACTCTGAGGCCTGGAGATGTTAAGTAAGTTTTCCAAGGTCACAGATGTATTATGCAAGGGATCTAGGATTTGAACCCAGGTAGACTGGACCCGTTAGTCCATGTTCTTAAACACGGCTCAATATGGCCTCTCACAGTAAAAGGAATTTCAGCAGATAAGAAATAACAATCCAGCCTGATAATACAGTATAACCAAAGGTACAAAGTCTTGAAAGTTCCAAGCATGTTGAAGAAGAAGGAGTGGGCAATTTGGATGGAGAATCTGAAATAGGAGAAATATAGAGGGATTTGAGGCTGGAAAAGAAAGAACCCATTGTGGGATTAACTGTGTTACCTAATTTTATTCTTTAGGTCGGCAATGGGGAGTCACCGAAAGTGTTTAAAAATGAGAATACAATGCTACTATTGAGAGGGGTTTTACATAATGCATACTGCCACATTCTGACCCCTGTACTAGGTGCTTTATGTATATTATTTCTAATCCTCAAATAACAGTAAAATTATTAACACAGCTTTAACAATGAGCAAACTAAGGCACACTGCTGATGTAAAGCAAGACGGGGATTTAAATTCACATAATTAAGATGACTGCACTATTTCCTTTAATTCCTGTGAAACTGGACTTTTAGCAGTATTCAGGAGGTAATGAGAAAGCTGAGAGATTACAGGCAAGGAGATCAACAGTGTACCTAGTAGTCTTTATTATTTTATGGGCTTTTAAAAGCTTGTTCAATACCAACCTGTGTATTTACCCTATTTCTTCAATTAAATTGTGATTTCATTTTGAAGCCATAGAAATGATTAGTTCAATTACTAGGAGGTTTAGGTCCTGTGAATCTGGTAAGCTTGTTCACTCATTTACTGTTTTTTCCAACACTCACTGTTACTGTGTTTACTTTTTGCCAGTCTGTGCACTAGGGGGTACTGGGGGTACCATGATAGATACCGTCTTTCCCATTGTGGAATATAAAATCAAGCAAGGAAGACAGGTAAAGGTAGCAATAGCAATGAAAACAGGATAATAAAGATAAATAGAAGGTGCAATGGTTCCTCATAGCACAGTCTTCTAGCCTGGCTGAAGATTATGTTAAAAGGGGGTAGGGGTAGGAAGTTAGTAAGGAAAGAGTGAAAAATGTTTCCTGGAGAATGAGGAGTTACCAAGAGCATTAGTAAGAAAGATCATGCATCTATCAACCATCTCCTAATGGGAGAAAATAAGTCTACTCAAAGTTACAACATCTGATTGGATTTCAGACTTTTCCTGCACCCACTGATGAGGACTTGAACAACTTCCCTGTTGTTGGAATTTCTAAGTTGGGTGTCAGGTGCTTAGGATGTCAGAAGTGTCTCATGGGACAACAGCAGTGATTTGCACAGGGTAGTCATAGACAGTGCCAGGTTCAGCCCTGCAATTTTAAAGCTAAGTTAAAGACAGTGCCTTAGGTAACCCTGTGCTCCCTCCTGCTCTTTTCATGGGGAGAGGTTCCTAATCAAAGTGTCTTCACCAAATGCTGACGTCAATTGGTATAAATGATTCAAAAAAAACAGTTGGGTAATTTTTATTTGACTTACCAGAGATGAATATGCGATTGTATAAGGCCAAGACATGGGAGTATCTTAGATTCATAGAGACTGGTAGCTCTTAGTTTGGGAATTTTGTGCTTTCAACTGACAGTTAGATCTGACAGTTAGATGTGCTCAGGAGTCTACCTAACCCAACAGGCTACCCACCAATCAGAATTTCCAGAACCTCTTGGATTTACCTTCATTTTTTCAAGAAATGACATGATACAAATAAAACCTGTGCAAATGGAAAAGAATACTATGGAATCAACAACAATAGCCTTCTGCAAAAAAAGTCTAGACAATGACACAGCACAACAATGGGCCCTGTTGTTATAAATACAATTATGATCCCAAAAGGTAGCATTTGTACAAAAGGGAATAACACATTTTCTTGGAAAAATGACTTCCTTTTCCTCAAAGTCCTTGATTTATGCCATCTGATTTGTGCTGGGATGAAATTTAATTGGTGGCAACTGTCATCAACACATAAATGTCTAGGTTTCATCCTGAATTTCACAACTGGATAAAGTTCATGGACAAATATATATATTCATTCTGCCTTAAAAAAAAAAAAACCTGTTCTAGTTTCTAAGCCTTTTGCTTTCTTTCTCCCTTAAGATGTGGTGAGACGTCTTTTACTGGTCTCTTCAGCTGACCTCTAATTATCCATAGCTCTGATTTTCTTACATGCTTCAGAAACTATTTAGATAATAGTACAGCTTGGGTGGCACTTTTATTTGAAAACTTTTTAAGTGAGCTCTAGGGGAAAAACACATAAGTTGTAAACTGGGCCCATGCCCAATGGCAAAGTAATAACAGTAATGATGACTTTAAATTTTATTTTATAGAATAAGTAATTTTATTTTATGGTGACAGTCACTGAGCACCTATTATGTGCCAGGCACTGTGCTAAGAGATATATAAACATTGTCCTATTTATTTTACACAACTTTATGTACTAGGAGCCATTATTATCTCCACTTAATAGACCAAGGAAATGAACATTAAGTCAGTTAATTAGGCTGTTAAAGGCCACCACTAGCCAGAATGTGTGTGTGTGTGTACGTGTATGTCATCTTCAAAGAATGTTTTGCGTGTGTGTGTTTGTGTGTGTGTGTGTGTGTTCCAGTTGCTCTGGTTGTATAACAAGTTATCCTAAATATTAGTGCTTCAAACAATGATAAAATTTACACTTTACTTACAAATCTGAAGTTTGGGCAAGACTTAGTGAGAACAGTTTGTTTCTGTTTTACTCGGCATCCCTTGGGGTGGCTGGAAGGGAGGAAGCTGGAATCATCTGAAAGCTTATTCACTCACATTTCTGGTAGTTATCTGTAGACTGTGTTTAATTGGGGTCATTAGCAGAAACAAGTAAACACCGTGGCTTTTCCATGTGGCCTGGGGTTTCTTTCTCACAACATGATTGCTAAGTTCCAAGGGCAAGCAGAGAAAAGAGACACAGACAGAGAGACCATTTATTGACTCTCAAAAAACTAGGTATTGATGGAAAGTATCTCAAAATAATAAGAGCTATTTATGACAAACCCACAGGCAATGTCATACTGAATGGGCATTCCCTTTGAAATACTGGAAGCATTCCCTTTGAAAACTGGCACAAGACAAGGATGCCCTCTCTCACCACTCCTATTCAACATAGTACTGGAAGTTCTGGCCAGGGCAATCAGGCCAGAGAAAGAAATAAAGTGTATTCAAATAGGCAGAGAGGAAGTCACATTGTCTCTATTTGCAGATGACATGATTGTATATTTAGAAAACCCCATCATACCAGCCCAAAATCTCCTTAAGCTGACAAGCAACTTCAGCAAAGTCTCAGGATAAAAAATCAATGTGCAAAACTCACAAGCATTCTTATACCCCAATAATAGACAAACAGAGAGCCAAATCATGAGTGAACTCCCATTCACAGTTGCTACAAAGAGAATAAATACCTAGGAATCCAACTTACAAGGGATGTGAAGAACCTCTTCAAGGAGAACTACAAACCACTGCTCAAGGAAGTCAGAGAGGACACAAACAAATGGAAAAACATTCAGACATTCCATGCTCATGGATAGGAAGAATCAATATCATGAAAATGGACATACTGCCCAAAGTAATTTATAGATTCAATGTTATCCCCATCAAGCTACCATTAAATTTCTTCACAGAATTAGAAAAAAATACTTTAAATTTCATATGGAACCAAAAAAGAGCCTGTATAGCCAAGACAATCCTAAGCAAAAAGAACAAAGCTGGAGGCATCACGCTACCTGACTTCAAACTATACTACAAGGCAACAGTAACCAAAACAGCATGGTAAATGGTACTAAAACAGATATATAGACCAATGGAACAGAACAGAGGACTCAGAAATAATGCCATACATCTAGAACCATCTGACTTTTGACAAACCTGACAAAAACAAGAAATGGGGAAAGGATTCCCTATTTAATAAATGGTGTTGGGAAAACTGGCTAGCCACATGAAGAAAACTGAAACTGGACCCCTTCCTTACACCTTATACAAAAATGAACTTATGATGGATTAAAGACTTAAATGTAAGACCTAAAACCATAAAAACCCTAGAAGAAAACCTAGGCAATACCATTCAGGACATAGGCATGGGCAAAGACTTCATGACTAAAACACCAAAAGCAATGGCAACAGAAGCCAAAATTGACAAATGGGATCTAATTAAACTAAAGAGCTTCTGCACAGCAAAAGGAACTATCATCAGAGTGAACAGGCAACCTACAGAATGGGAGAAAATGTTTGCAATCTATCCATCTGACAAATGGCTAATATCCAGAATCTATAAGGAACTTAAACAAATTTACAAGAAAAAAACCAAACAACCCCATCAAAAAGTGGACAAAGGATATGAACAGACACTTCTCAAAAGAAGACATTCACACAGTCAACAAACATATGAAAAAATGCTCATCATCACTGGACATTAGAGAAATGCAAATCAAAACCACAATGAGATACTATCTCATGCCAATTAGAATGGCAATCATCAAAAAGCCAGGAAACAACAGATGCTGGAGAGGATGTGGAGAAATAGGAATGCTTTTACACTGTTAGTGGGAGTGTAAATTAGTTTAACCACTGTGGAAGACAGTGTGGCAATTCCTCAAGGATCTAGAACCTGAAATACCATTTGACATAGCAATCCCATTACTAGGTATATGCCCAAAGGGTTATAAATTATTCTACTATAAAGACACATGCACACATATGTTTATGGCAGCACTATTCACAATAGCAAAGACTTGGAACCAACCTAAATGCCCATCAATGATAGAATGCATAAAGAAAATGTGGCACATATACACCATGGAATACTATGCAGCCATAAAAAAGGATGAGATCATGTCCTTTGCAGGGACATGGATGAAGCTGGAAACCACTATTCTCAGTAAACTAACAAAGGAACAGAAAACATGTTCTCACTCATAAGTGAGAGTTGAACAATGAGAACACATGGACACAGGAAAGGAAACATCACACACTGGGGCCTGTCAGGGAATGGGGGGCTAGGGGAGGGATAGCATTAGGAGAAATACCTAATGTAGATTATGTGTTGATGGGTGCAGCAAACCACCATGGCACATGTATACCTATGTAACAAACCTGCACGTTCTGCATATGTATCCCAAAACTTAAAGTATAATTTTAAAAAATTCAGTCTTCCTCAATGTATAAGTCATATGTGAGTATATTTGAATACATATGAATAGGAACATCCTGCACCACACTCATATACAACTCATGTATATGAATATATATGTAAACATGCAGACACACACATCTATATACTTATATCTACATAGATGACTTCTTGGCATCATGAAAATCTTCAATCTATCTGTGATGGAGAATTTAAACTCTAATAATGGAGGTCATTTAGCAGAGATCATTCAGAATCTAACTACCATTAACTGTCATACCTAAGGAACACTTTCTTCTACACTCAGTTTCTTCTGGTCAACAGGATCTCAGCTTTCCTATTTCAGAAGACGGTTGTTTCTGTGTATGTTTCACCTGCATTATATATACAACATGTCAGCTAGTTAAGGCACCCGCCACCACGCCTGGCTAATTCTTTGTATTTTTAGTAGAGACGGGGTTTCACCTTGTTAGCCAGGATGGTCTTGATGTCCTGACCTTGTGATCCACCCGCCTCGGCCTCCCAAAGTGCTGGGATTATAGGCATGAGCCACCGTGCCTGGCCGAGTTTTAGTTTTCTTATCTGCAAAATGAGGATATTGTTGCATTCCTCACAGGATTGTTATGAAGGGACATGAAATAGCATCCGTAAAATATTTGGTGCAATGCCTAGCCCATAGATGTTATGTAGAAAATTGTATCAAAGTTTAAATAAAGAAGGAAATGTCAATGTTTTTTTTTTTAATAGCCTATAAGATATTTTCATGATTTAGCTCCTGTTAACCTCCCTGGCTTCATCCTACACCACACTCCAATAAGTCAATTTACAATCATTATGCTCTAAACTTTATGACCTTCTATTTAAAAAAAAAAATCTGTCCTGGCCTCACAGCTATTGTGAATTTTCTTCTCTTTTTCTGGAAGATTCTTTCCTCAAAACACTGCATTGTTAATTCTTTTCCATCAGTCATATAATTTAATCTTATTGAGGAGGGCTTTTCATGATCAACTTCTTACCCAAAGGACTTCTGTTTCTCCAAATAATTATTTATCATTATACTCTTTCTAACAGTTCTTTGTACTCAAAGTATCTTTATTATGGATTTGATTTACTTTGTAATTATATGGGTCTCCCACAAGATTGTGAGCTGTGTAGAAGCAGATAAAAGCTGTGACCTCTGTCTTGTTCGAGGGCCCCAGAGAGTGCCAGGCCAATAGTAGGTGCTCAGTATATATTGGATGGATAGATGGGTAGATGGATGAATAAATACGTATGAATGTGTGTTTATGTGTGTTTAATGAGGGTAAAGTGAGGAATGATTTAAAAAGGAAACAGCACATAAATTAGCATTTCTATGGGAGAGATGAGACTATGACATTTACCTACTGTCCCTTATTGAAGGGATGCAATAGAAAGAGACCTAGGTGATTTCTCTTTATTCACCGTAGGGCTCACACTGGAGACAAATTTACCCCATGCAGCAGTGAAATAATAAGCTACTTTTATCTTTTCCTTGATGCCCTTCACTCTTTCCCTTGGGCCCTGTGAATGCATGACCTAGGGATTATTTCTGTTTCTTTCACTTCTGTTCTCCTGGGTTTAACTCAGAGTATCTAACTGGATGCCTCTCTATGAAGAAAATTTGCCTCCCTTTTCCAGGAAATGTTTCAAAATCTCAAAAAACAAATGCATTGCACATGCAAATCAATCCTCCAAACACAAAACAATTCTAAAAATCATCCAAGCTTGCATAAAAATAAACGTTAAATTCCTTGGACTATTTTTTACTTTTCTGGCCTTTATAGTGGAGCTATTTGGAAAATGAAAATTCATCAGTGTATAAATGAATTTATGTGTTTGTGTAAGAAGTTCTAATTAGCACATACAGTGAAGTGTGGAGAGTTTTCTATGTAGCATTCTCTGACTGAGGTTTAAAACCAAGGTCTGTCCTCTGAAATAAGTGGACAGCTGCTACGTGCTTAAAAAAATAAAATAAAAGGAAATAAAATAAGTTGTTAACTTGGGACTATGGAGTGGAACTTGACTGTATCTCCAGAACAGATGTTTCAGGTCTGGGACATTTTGCATGAAATCATTAGAGACTTCATATCCAAAGACTCCTAGGGAGCTGTCTGACTGTTCTGTTTAATTAATAGATCTCTTTGCAACTCTAGAAGCAGCGGAGCCAAGAGACTCTTACTGGCATGCAGTGCCAATCACTTTTCCACCTTGAAAACTCTTATGGTCACCCCAGGTGGCCTTGGACTGCTCACCAGGCCTCCCTAGGCCTCAGTTTCCCCATCTTAATTGGAAAGAATATGAATATTTCCATGTTTCACAGAGATATGTCAGAGTACCTAAACTAATGAATTGTACAAAGTTTGCTTTCTGACAACCCTATTTTTAAAGTCCTAATTATTCTCTTTTTCTTTATAATCATCATGAATTTAGGCTATAATAATTCTGGGATTAAAGCCACATAATATAATATTCTCACAATAGTTTAATGGAACTAAATAGTTTGCTTTTCAGCATTCATGTTCAATCATTCAACACTAAATTTAGTATTAAGCAATTTTGTAACAATTTCAAGAGAAAAAGGGTTAAGAGAGAGAACGTTGCTCTTCTGTGCCCACAAGCTTCTCTCTCTTTTCTTCATAAGCCTGGACACTTGGAGAACTGAGGCAGGAACATGACCTACTCAATAGGGTGCTTTGTACAGCACCTAGAAAGGTGCCTTTCTTCTTATTCAGCTGATTTACAAAGTGATCGATGATAAGGAACATCCCTAAGCCCCATGCCTAGCTTCCCAAAGATCAACTTATCAGCCATTAAGGGATATTGTTTTAATATTGACAAGGAAATCAGAATGTTTTACTGAGTGGTGGTTGCATGTTTTCTTCCTGGTGGAATATGATTTCCTAGTGTCCTTGAAAGCACAACACTTCCCTCTCTCTACCCTCTTCATACTGGAAAATATTTCCACTCTCTTTGCGTCCTCAAACAAAGAGACTTCCTATTCACTTAGTTCGGTTCCCTTGTGACCTGAAGTCATTTCACCTATAGAAGACAAATGACTTCAACCCTCCATCTTGAGCTTGAATTGCAATACAAACCAAATTAGATAAAATAAATCAATAATATCTTTGCAGGCCATATTCACTTAAGTTACATTTACAGTACAATTGCCCACTTTGCCTATATACTTTAATCCATTGACACTCTACATCTGGCACCTGAATAAATATGTTACCCCAGCTGAATATAAACGAACTAGGAGTCCGTCATTATTTTGTATTGAGTGAAAGGTTAGTAAGTTTTCATTTCTTTTTTTTTTTTTTTAAAAAGTGATTCTGAAATAAAGAAAAAGCTGGTATATCACAAAGCTTGATTTGCTTGGCTAGCTTTTGCAATGCACTCATAGCTCATTGATGGCTTAGAAGCTTATATTGCTATAATTACATGGACCATTGCATTCATCTCTTATGTTGTGAACCCCCATATATATAGCCCGATGCATTTATATTTGGATTCTAACTTGGAAAGCAGATCTTCGATAAGGAATAGTAGACACACATGCTGAACTGAGGCACAGAAAATTTCATAGTGGTTTCTGTGCTCATAAAATTAACAGGACACTTATTACTGTGGCTAGCATAGGCATAACTCAAACATCTTGGTCAGTCCAATTTGCTAAAGTTTCATGTAAACTGCAACTGAATTAGTCCCTCCAGTTCCAAAATTACCAATGGACTATATTATATTATACTGAACAAAGTTCTATAGATAAGACTTTTATGTAATCATTGGTTTCAACTTGGGAGAAGGGCTCTCAAACAACTTCCTTCTACCAATATCAGAGCCCTAGTTGTGTCAAAACCTTGGTTACAACTGGAAAGAGGTGATATTGGAAACCTAGTCCCAGAGGTTTAGGAAATAGAATGAAAAGTAGTCAAGCATCTGCCTATACAGATGTCTGTAAGACCATCACTGCAAAAGCAGTGACAAGACAGCAACAACTTTCCCACTGGATGTATATTTCAGGGTTTGGGGCTACCTAACATTTTGGCTTTTTGTTTCTTATACAATGTCATCAAAGACTGCTCATGGGTATGTTGTATAATAATGTAGCACAGGGACTAAGGTAGAAGTTTCAGTGATAGGAAGCCTAGATTTAAATATTGGCACTGCTACTTTCTACTTTCTCTCTGATGGGAGAGTCACTAACTTTTGCAAAATGAGAATAAAAACAAAACCTAATTTGTAAAGGCCTATGATGAAACTAAACTAAATGACAGGGAAAGGAATCAAGGCACAAAGAGAAGGGGAGAGAATGAATGAACATTTAAACTGAAGGCATGTCTGCCGCCTGCCGTTGCCCTTAATTCAGGCAGACGTGGAGTGGGAGTGAGATGAAGGTCTTGAATTTCTTGTTTCCACAGGTGGTTCTAATACATACACTGTTTAGATTTTTGGCCCCACTCCACATGCCAAGTGTAATTCTAATATTTGAGGATATACAGTTTTGCTCTAATGACGAGAATATGATCCAAGTATTTCATCTAGTGCACAATCAAAATCAGATAACCTTTTCCATTCTTAAAAGAAAAACTGTGTTGTACCTGCAACAATAGTATGTTGGTACCAAGCGTAGCTTCCTAAGAGTTATTCAGTGGTTAATTTTTGAACACACCTAATTCTCATCATATGTGATGACTTCAAAACCTGGCCCAGAATAATGAAGAACTCTGCCTTCTGGGCCGGAGTGTACCACCGAGGTTCATGGATCAGACCATACAATCTGGCACATGTTGGGGATTGAAGTTACTGAGCAACTACTAAATGGGTATAGTAAAGCCTTTGGAAATGACTCTTTCATTTAGCTTGGATCTAAAGTTCTCTCAAACTTGAGACTGAGTCCTTAATTCAGTAAAGCAAGCCCATATTTCAGAGATAATTCATAGGATTTATCCAGCAAATCGTGTGGATAAACAGGGGAAAAATTAGCGACAAAAAGAGAGAAAAAGCATTTGTGCTACAGTCTAAATCACATGGAAAAACAATTTACAAAATGAGTATTTTAATAGACAAAGCAGAATGTTTTTACTAGTTAAAAAATGCTGCAAAATGTTGGCAACAATAGTTTGCATCCAAATAGTCAAACCTAATTGTTTGTGAATGCAACATAATTGAGTCCTCATTGTAAGAGCTTTAAGAAAACCAAATAATACAACATGGGCTTTTATGACATTAAAAACAAATAATTTGTACAGAGTTATTATGTTTGAAGAAACACATACCCATCAACTCATTTGATTTCATTAGCGATAGACAAATTGGGGGATGTTTTGTTTTGTTTTGTTTTATTTCTGCTTTGAACTTCACAAAAGATAAACCTGATTTCTTTGGAACAATTTCTACTCTATTTCCTTAGAATTAAGCTTTCAAAGTCATGCTAAAATAAAGCCACATTTAAAGTAAAAATGACATTCATAATTACTAGTAGCTGTTAACTGTATTAATCAACTCTCAGTGGCATTTACAGCACTTTTGCAACATCTAAAATTGTAATAATACCCAAAAACTATTGAAAAATAAGACTCATTGACGTAAGTGCAAACTTATACTATTAATGAAGAATTCCGCTCAGTTAGGAAACCAAAAAAAGGGATTCATAATAACCTAGGCTAGAGCAAACAGACATAGACAACAAAGAAAAATAAAATAAATAAATGTAAGTGGCTTTAAAGAACTTTAAAGTCATTCCCAGCTTCTGCCATGTTTGAGCCCTGTTGCATATATAACATTGAAGTGAGAAGGAATTAAGCAGAGAAGCAAGTTATGGATCACACACTCTGGTGTAATCAAACTCCAGCAGTCACAGCAAGAACAAAATGTCAGCTCTAACTAACTACCTTATTGAATTCCCCAAATCTATGACCCACAAGATAGCCATATTAATCTGGTCATGCTCAGAGCCTGAGGGAAATCACTCGGGGAATAAAGGATATCCAGTAGAGACAAAATTAAATGTGAGGCATGCTAGCTTTTCAAATACTCACAAAACCATTTGATCATGATCACCAACTTGTCCCAGTTTGCCTGGAACTTACCTGATTGTAGCCCTGAAAGTCCTGCATCCCAGAACATTCACAGCCCCAGACAAACTAGAAGAGTTTGTCACCCTACCATTTAATCTGAGCTTCTCATCACTGCTGACTTACTCACCTGAACATACCTTTGACTAAACTATATATGGAGCAGTGGTTCTCAGACTTTACTGTGCATATGGATCACCTAAAAAGCTTGTTGAACACAGTGTCCTGGGCCCCATCCCACTTCCATAAGTTGAAGTGGAGCCAATGAATTTGCATTTCTAACAAGCTTACAGGTAAGACAAATGCTGCTGGTTTAAACACCACATTGTGAATAACACTGCTGTAAACTTCAGATGCCTTTTCCATTTCTCAATTTTCCTTCCTACCTTCTGAGTTTAGTTTTCAAGAGTACCTATGCGGGAACAGATTGTGTCTTAGAAGTAGAAACAGTTCATCCTGGAATGAAGGATGACAATATAACTAATGGAAAACTTATCCAATAAACTGGTTATTTATACAACACTAAAAGATGTAAATATTCTATTTATAGGAATTTCATCAGTTAATTAAATTGTAAAGCCTTTCTAAAATGCTAATTCATTTTAGGGAATTAATAGAAATAATAAGAAGCAGAGAGAACCTTTGGTCATAGCCAATGTGTTTACTGCAGTTGTAAAACTAGAATAACTCCAAAAGATTTGAAGGAGCCCAGCAAGATTTTTGTAAGGATAAATACATGTAAACTATATTAGAAGTTCTCTAATTCTCTGACACCAACTGGGTTTCCAACAATTCAGTTCTGACACTAACTTCCCACAGTGGGGCACACCCCAAGGATTAAGAGCTCAGGCCTACAAGACTGCCTCCACATCACATGCCAGTCTCACTGGCTATAAATTTGGAGGTCCCCACAAACTCCTCCTCAGGTTCTATAATTGCTAGAATGATTTACAGAACTCAGGAAAATACTTTCCTTATTGCTGAGATTTCTGTTTGAAAGGCTACAACTCAGGGACGGCTAAAAAGCAGCACTGCACAGGACAAGCTATGGGAGGGCCAGGAGCAGGGCTTCCACGTGCTCTCAGATGAGCTCTTCTCACAGCATCTCAATGTGTTCACCAACTCAGGAGCTCCTCAACCCCCTTCATTTAGAGGGTTTCATCAAGGTTTCATTCCATAGGCCTGACTGATACCATTATTCATCATTTGTGCTTAAAACCCCTCTCCCCCACTTTCTCCTGAGATGGGGGACTGGGGAGGAGTTCTAACCCTCCAATTACTTGGTTAGTTTTTCAGAACCTTGGGACAAAAAAAAAAAAAAAAACAAATATTTATTTTTTATTATACCACAGCAGGAATTTAGTTTTATTTATCTCCCTCAGGAAGTAAGATACAAGTTGTGGATGAAAAACGTGTATTTTGTAAGGGATTAAGTTTCAAAAGTCACAGCTCTGTCTCCAACACCTATAAACACAGATTGAACCAAGAATCATGAATGTCCACAAGAATGCCTCCAGGTTATTGTGCTCCATCTACTCCAGTTACTGTGGTAGGGAAGTCGGTGGAGATGTTTTACAGAGAATTTTCAATAGCAGAAGCTGAATCGGAAATAAATTCTCCGGGTACATTTATTTAACTAGAATATTATACTTCCTAAGCATTTCAATGTACTGAATGTTGAATGTACTATTTGTTTAAAGATAATCTTGGCCTGGAGCAGTGGTGCACACCCATAGTCCTAGCATTTTGGGAGGCCAAGGCAGGAGGATTACTTGAGTCCAGGAGTTCAAGACCAGCCTAAGTAACATAAGGAGATCCTGCCTCTACAAACAAATTTAAAATTAGCTGGGCACGGTGGTATGCACCTGTAGCACTAGCTCCGAGGGCTGAGGCAGAAGGATCTCTTGAGCCCAGGAAGTGGAGGCTGCAGTGAGCTGTCACTGCACCACTGCATTCCAGCCTGGGTGACAGAGTGAGATCCTGTCTCAAAAAAAAAAAAAAAAAAAAAAAAAAAAAAAGATAATCTTTACAAATTTAACATCTTTTGATAAATGCTAACATTTATAAAGAGCCTCCAACCTATTCATTTGCCATTTTTCATATAATAAATTAAAAAACTCACGCGGCAGCACTCATACTTACGTGCACTGCTTAATCTTTACAGGCAACACTTGGAAATAAACTCTTCATGTTTCCTTTATGCTAAAACTACTGCCCATTTTCTGTCTCTAGTTATAGTTTCTTTTTAATCCTCATTAACATAGCACTAAATCTCCAAAGTCATGTCTAAGTTAACGACAACAACAATATCTGCAAGAATTACATGTTATTTATCGAGTGTTCCCTATACGACTGACCCTGTTGTATGCAATTTATTTTCATTATTACTGTTCATCTTCACTCTAGAGCCAAGAGTAAGGTGAGATGATTAAAGCTTTCATCTTAGGTGGAAAATTTGAGGGCCTCTCAAAAACTTGGTAGTCAAGATAAATAATTTTTAGTGAATTTTTTAAATAAAAATTATTAAATATTTGTGATGAACAAAATGTCAGAAATTGAAACAAAGAATAAATCAATACCAATTTTTCCTTTTGCCTCAGGTTCTAATATGGCTCAGCACAGCAATGTTACTGATTTTTCACAACTCCACAAAGTACATGATAGTATTATTCCCAT
Organism: Homo sapiens; assembly: GCF_000001405.40. NCBI lineage: Eukaryota > Metazoa > Chordata > Mammalia > Primates > Hominidae > Homo > Homo sapiens. Next base: position 164,079,476 of record NC_000005.10, on the reverse strand, counting down.
TATATGAACAGAAATTTAGAGAATCTAAGTAACTTGTTCAAGGTCACAGAGTTGCTTAATGGGGAATAGGGCTGCAAGTTATTCAGCTATGATATTACAGTGCCTGTCATTCACACAGTGCTGATGATGAGTGTGATGGTGGGGGTACAGTACGCACCCTGAGGTCAATGCTTTACTAGAAGAACTCACAGAACTCACTGAATATTATGATTGCTATACTCATAGTTTTGTTTTATAAAAGTGAAAGGATATAGATTAAAGTCATGCAAAAGAAGAGATGTGTGGGACAGAGTCTGGAAGGGTTCCAAATGTGGAGCTTCCAGTTATCCTCTCCCAATGGAGCCCCCGACATTACCTCTACCAGCAATGATTTGTGACAATATGCACAAAGTATTACCTATTAGGGAAGCTCACCGGACCTTGGTATCCAGAGTTTTTATTGAAATTCAATCACATAGACAGAGTTGACTGCCTCTGTGCCAGACCTTTAGTCTACAGCCCCTCTAGAAGATGAATGGATACTACAGGGCCTGAAGCCTTATCATTAATCATGTGTTTGGGCTGTCCAGAGTGGCCCAACCTCCCAGGTAAACAAAGGTACTCTTATCAGGCAGGACATTTCCATGGCCTAGACATCACCTCCCAGGAGCCAAGGGCAAAGGCCAGCCCTCTCTTTTGGGTTAGATTAATTGCTTACTATGCAACATGTCAGCACTGTGGCAGGAGAGAAGCAGGGTATGAATAAGGAGATGGACACCTCTTTTTGGAGCAAATGGTGTAAGTATTAAGTTGATAAAGTAACATGACCCCACAAAAGTATACTTAAGTTTCAGCTACATTGTCTATATCTTTAGTAGAAAAAAACACATGCGGAAAAAAATCTGAGCTGAAAAAAATAATGTTCCTTTCAGGTTCTAGACTGCTGATAGGGAAAAGAGCTGCTAGGCATTACATGCTGCCCAATTTATTAAACCTACCTCGCTGCTTTGGTGAAAGAAGATGCCTGTATTAGTCTGTTCTTACACTGCTATAAAGATACTACCCAAGACCGGGTAATTTATAAATAAAAGAGGTTTAATGGACTCACAGTTCTTCATGGCTAGGGTGGCCTCGGGAAACCCACAGTCATGGGAGAAAGTGAAGGGGAAGCAGGCACTTTCTTCACAAGAAAGAGAAAGCAAAGAGGGAAGAGTCCCTTATAAAACCATTAGATCTCATGAGAACTCGCCATCATGAAAACAACATGGGGGAAACAGCCCCCATGATCCTGTCACTTCCCTCCCTCAACACGTGGGAATTACAATTCAAGATGACACTTGGGTGGGGACACAGCCAAACTCTATCAATGCCTAACTCTAAAATCAATCAGTATTGAAGTCAAGAAATCAAAGGAGATGTACACACATCAATATATTATTTACTTTATAAATGATCTCTGTCAGAGATCATTCCACCGATCCTTAACATATTTCTCCTGGAGCTCCTGAACGTTATCTCTATTGCCTTAGCCCAATAATAGAAAAGGCCATCTAAGAGGTAGAAAGCTTGCTGCTGGTAGTATGTGACATGGTTTTAGGTGTTATATGAACAAATAGGTTTTATTTTATTAGCTATGTATTTGTGTAGTGTTATTAGTACCTTTTTTATAGAGGCATATTGGAAACATACTAAAGAAAGTAAGCTTTTTAAAAAATTATCAATTTAAAGAAAAATATTAAGTTTCTTTAAAAAATAACAATAGAAGCCATATTTGGATATGGCAAAAGTTAGGAAGGAAAGAATATATTTAAGTTTAGGAAACCACGGATTAATAATACATAGATTTTATTCCATTATTTTAAATAAGAGGGTTTTAATTATATGGCTATCAGAAAACTGGCTTCTGAAATGGAAATCTAGCCATGTGTAATTTAGGATTTTATTTATTCAAAAAAATTTAAACTGAGGGTGTTCGTTTGTTTGTTTGTTTTTTGAGACAGAGTTTCACTCTTGTTGTCCAGGCTGGAATGTAATGGCGTGATCTCAGCTCACTGCAACCTCCACCTCCTGGGTTCAAGCGATTCTCCTGCCTCAACCTCCCAAGTAGCTGGGATTATGGGCACCCGCCACCACGCCTGGCTAATTTTTGTATTTTTAGTAGAGACAGGGCTTCACCATTTTGTCCAGGCTGGTCTCAAACTCCTGACCTCAGGTGATCCTCCCGCCTTGGCCTCCCAAAGTGCTGGGATTCCAAGTGTGAGCCGCCACAGCTGGCCTGAGGAATTTTCTTAAGCTTCCTTTCCACCCCCTCCCCCCACCCAGAGATCAGTTTTCAAGAGGGAGGTGGGGAAGAATTTCTAACTAAACACAGAAAATCAGATCGTTCTGAAATATTTTTAGTCCTGAATCAGTTCGCTGATAAAAATCTTCTATTCAAAGTTTCCCCCAGTGATAACCATTATCATCAAATGCTAACAACCCATCATTCCTGTGCCTGATGCTTGTATCTCTTTTCTAGAAAATCAATAGGACAGCTGAGGAGGAGGAAGGCAGCCCTGGTGGGATGGGGGATCCAGGTCCCCAGGGCTCCACTCCCATCTCAGTATGACCTTTAGAAAGGGCTCCTCCTCCCTCCAGTACCTCACTCTCACCATTTGAGAGGAATGGGACAGTGACTTTATCATCACATGGAGGGATAAATGAGTTCCTGTCTGCAGGCACCCTGAAACACTTGAAATGCAAAGAGGCAGGAGGTGATGGAACGGGTTGCTGGCTGTGTCTGTGATCACAGGAATGAACAGAGCATGTGGCCAGGCGATGGGATGTGAGGGCCCATTCTGAATATGGAACAAGTTACTGGTTGTACTTGGAATCCCCACACTCCTTTGTTGTCATAGAGCACGATTAAAATGAATGAGCAAATGTTAAAGTCGGGGCTGAAATCATCTCCTGGATTGTTTCCTTTTTTTTTTTTTTCTTTTTTCTGATTTACTTGTTTGTTTGTAATGGAGTAGGAGAAAAGTAGTGTTGAAGAAGACTGGATTTTAAGATTCATAAGCTGCAAAGGTAAAATCACAGTGACTAACTATAGAGGCTTTAGAATGGATGGACCTGATTCTCAGTTCATGGTTTCCTGTGTGACACTGAGGAACCAGCTTAACCTCTCAGTTTCCTCGACTGAAAAGTGGGTATAATAATAGTAGCGACCTCTTGTTGTATTTGAGATGATTAAATGAGATAATGAAGTGAAGCATACAATACTCAGCACATAATTCTGCCTCTTAGTATTCATTTAAATGAATAATTTAACATAATTTAATTATTATGAACTTAACCTCTTTAAGTTGCATTTCCTCATCTGTGAAATGATAACAATAACTACTTTGTGTCTATTTCATTATGTTAATGTGAGAATCAAACGAAATCGTGGACATAAAGTATCTGTAACATGATTCTTGGGAGCCTTTCTGTACTTCTGAGATTTAAGTGAAATGGTCCTGAATGCTCTAAATTTTAAAATTTGTGTGTTCCCACTGTTTATTAACACACAGACACACACACACAAACACACACTCAGAGTTTCTACCAATTTCCCATCTTACTTTCTCATTGCCCCTATTTCCATGCCTGTTTTCATAGACATTCCCAGGAACCCACGTGTCAAATTCAGACCCAAGATTCTGTCCTCCTTCGATTCTTCTAAGGAATCTCATCACTTTGAGCACACACGAGCTTAGTAACTTTACTGAAGATCATCAAACATAGTGTCTTGTTATGGTGCCCCCATCTTCTATTCCGTGCTATACCCCACTGCTGTCAGCGTTCCGAAAGCTTGTCCCGCCATATGCTGCCCACCTTGTCACACAGGGCTGGCTGGACGAGGTAGTTCTAATGCTTCTACTGCAGCTGCTTTTGGAATGACACTCCCCACTTCCCATTCCAAATGTCTTCCTTTGTCAACTAAAAAGCATGCACTCTAAAGTATCAGATATGTAAATTATAAGAAGGCTGAAATTTTAATTTCAAGTCAATTCAGGATGTATCTATTGATGCTCTTCCTTAGTCATAAATTGTGCTAGTTTCTCCAAATGCAATAATAGCTACACCATATTTCCTTCTCCAAAAAGCTGGCAGCCACGTTCAAAAAGAGCAAGGATGGCAAATGGCTACAGGACAGCATCATCAGTGAAGAGGGGACAAGGCAGTGCATCTCCCACTTCTGGAGAAGGTAAAAAAAAAAAAAAAAAAGGCACAACAGGATAATGAGATCTGTAGGAGAAAGACAAGATAAAGGAAAAAGAAGAGAAGGTTATTTCAGGTAGACAAAAAACTGTTGCAAACAAAAAGGAAGAAAAAACACTTAGAAGCATAGCATGCTGAGGGAACAAAAAACATTTTATTGTGTTTAGAGTCCAGGCTAGGCACTGAGATGGATCTCTACTCCAATGTGTAAATATTTCTAAAACCAAAACAAGATTGAAAAAGTCATATTTTAATACTATTTAGATAAAAATAATGATCAAATCCAGCTCAGAATTAATAATCTGGAATAAAAACAGGCTTTGGAATCTCAGGTTTCTTCTCATTATATATTTATATAGATAGATATCTATATATCAATAAATGATATATATATCATAATACATTGTAATAGGAGCAAGCAATAATAGATATTGTTATAATAATTACAATAGATAATTATGTAGCTTTAGGATACCTTGGTATCTGGAAAGATGACATGTAAGAGCCCCAAAATATAGGGTTTTCGAGGGCACATACAAATGCACCCTTGGATGCTAAAATGAGAATCCCAACCAGAACTAAATAAGAGCACATCAATTTTTGCCCTTAGAGGCAAATTTTCCTATTCTCTATCATTAAAAGTTATTTCATTGCAATGAAAATAGGTTTTTACAGCTGGGACTAAAATTCCTACTTAAAAGCTAGCGAAAAGATTATAGTTACCATAGATAGAGGAAAGGCAGCATGAAATTGGGGGTTGTCAAGGTAAAAGAAGAACCTAAACTTAAAACTGAACTCAGAGAAGACCCATGTAATAAGTAAGGTTATTCCACCTGAGAGAGATGAGAAATGTCCTATCTTTCTCCTACATAAATGGTTTTTAAATATATATATGTGTTTCAAATATAAATAGATCTTACCTTCTAAATTTGAGAATAAAATCTAAGCATGTTTGAATCTCAGGGTTTATCCAACCAAAATTCAAAGAATGACCTCCTGGTCTTTGCCCAATATGCCCAGCCCAACTCTTTTTATGCAAGCGTGGGTCCAATTTTCTTTACAACGCACAGTACCAACTGTGTAGTGAAAATTTGTGTAAAATAACTTTTGTCTAGAGTGTAGCGATAGTTGAATAACATCTGAGGTACCCTAATAAGGAATCTACATTCTAGGGTTTTCCTTAGCTCCTAAAGGTTCTCAGTCAGTTATGTACACTCCAGAGGCAGCTATTGTTAGTTCTTCAAATGCTACTATATAAATTTGCCAGAGTTTATTAGTTACAATAAAGGATATTAGAAGTGAATTTTTGTTGTTAAAAAGTCACAAAAGTGACTTTTTGGAGACACTGTTGAAAAGTATTATTGAAAAGCTTGAGACTTTAATGCCTCTGGGTTAGTACTCCAGATCTAGAAGGCTTGAGCATCTGTTCCCCCCAAAAATGGAATAGTTTGAGAGTCAGTGGGATTTTCAAAGGGTCTATAAGGATGGAAAGTAGAGTCTTTACCTATAAGGAATAGGCTGCATGACCGTTTATGCACCTAGTGTTAACAATGTCTGTTTGTGTGCCAGGAGCTTGACAGGGGACTGGCTGTCACTGAGACCTAATGCTTCATAGTGTTGCTGGACTGTGTGAAGACATCTAGCTTCTACTTACCTCTAACTGTTGGAAGTAATCAGTAATTACCAAAGGACTTTACTAATGGTGAAAGTCAAATGATGTTTACCTGGGTTCCTGAAATTCCAACCTCCATACATAGACACACTTGAAAATAACCCTTATCAAAGTCATGCCACTTTAGCACTATGGTGATTTTGACTCCCAAGGGATGTTTGGCAATGTTTGGAGAAATTTTTGTTGTCACAGTTGGAGGTAGGGGTGCTACTAGCATCTGATAAATAGAGGCCAGGCATGCTGCTAAGTGTCCCACGGGGAATAAGACAATCGCCCCTCCCAACAAAAGTTTATCTGGTTTCAAATGTCAGTAGTGCTGATGTTGAGAAATTCTGAGCAAAGGATATAGTTGGGGCCCCAGGCCTGAAAACTGATAAGACCTCATTCTCTAAGTCTTACTCAGGAGAAGCCACATCTTCGCTTCCTTTCAGAATATCCTCTTGATTCCATCCCAAGATCCCCTTTCTCTCTCAAATAAACATCAAGAATTATATAAACTTGTTAATTCCTGGTCAAGCACAGGAGCTCATAAAGTTTTGCACAACTTCTATAATGCATAATACTTGGGCACAAATGAGGATTTTTATATTTCCAGTCTTCAGAAGGTGGAAAACACTAAGAACATTCCAAATATCAATGGCTCAATAAACCCTCATCTTGACTTTGAAGAAACCACACATTCAGTCCAATGGTTGTGAGGCATTGACACTACACCTTCCTTGTTCTAATTTTTTCTAGAAGATAGAAGGGGCAGGCAAGCATGGCAGTGCTATATAATAATGTCCATAATAATAATGGACATGATGATGATGCTAGTTATTTACTGCTATAAAAGTGATAGGGTCGGGCACTGTGGCTCATGCCTATAATTCTAGCACTTGGGGCAGCCGAGGCAGGTGGATTGCCTGAGCTCAGGAGTTTGAGACTAGCCTGGGCAATATGGTGAAACCCCATCTCTACAAAAAATACAAAAATTAGCCCGGCATGGTGGCTCATGCCTGTAGTCTGAGCTACTCAGGGGGATGAGGCGGGAGGATCACTTGAGCCCAGGAGGTGGGGGTTGCAGTGAGCCAAGACGGCGCTGCCACTGCACTCCAGGGTGACACAGTAAGATCTTGTCTCAAAAAAAAAAAAAAAAAATAGGATTCCATAGTACTAAGAATGTGCCTTATATTATTTATGTATTTTACACCCACCTTATTAAGAAGGTGTTATAATTCCCATTTTATAAATTAGGATACTAAGTAAAAGGAGGTGATTTAGGTTGCCCACATTCACACTGATACTTAATGAAAGAGGAGGGATTCAAACTCAGAATAGAAATGTCTCAAACCCAAACTCAATAACATTAATTCATTTCAAATTCATTAAGTATTTGTCACATACTAGGCACTTATTTGAGGAACTTGAGATAAATCAAAGAGCAACAGGGACTAATATCTCTTCACCAGTTAGTTATAGCATCTATAATGTGAACTTTTTCAGCTACAGTAAAGCAGTGAACTGCTTTCTTTGCTTGTCACTGGATTGGATTATGAGATTTTTTTCACTATACATGTTTTTCATCATCTTAGTTCCCATCCAAAGCAGATTATCTTGTTAGGTGACTTTTACTTACTTTGTATGTCAGCCAAATCCAAGCATTAGACCAGAGCAAAATCTTTCTGATATTCCCAGCAAATCAAATTCTAAAACTTAAAGTATCATAAACTAGAGCCCAAGCTCTTAAAGCTTAGAGACTTGGAGAGAGAAGCATTTACTTGAAGCAAAGTTCTCTTTTGAGGTCTGCATGAAGAATCTTACTGAGATCCAAGACTCTTTAATCATCAAAGACTCAGTCTTAACTCTCATCAGACCCAGTGTCACCACTCTCACCCGGGCAAAAATTCCCTTTGACTTTAGTAGTTGAGAGAGTAACTGGAGATTGGCCTGAAGAACGGATGCTGCACCTGAGCGGGTAGGGGGTTTGCAGGAACACTGGTTTTGTCTCTTAATAATGGGATTGCTGGTCATGGCACTGTAAACACTAAACTATGTATCAGGTTAGCAAATATGACAGTGTCACAGAATTGTCACACAATGGTGCTCAAGGGTGTCCATTTTGGAAAGAGATAAAAGAGGAGACATTCAGGGATCAAGGAAAAGAATACATAGTCCATCTAAGGATGTAACCAGCAACCTGCAACCAATTAGTTGTTGCCATTCAAATAATACGTTTGCAATCTGGAGAAACATAAACTACTAAGGAGGGGCAACCATAAATGCTTAAAAAGCTAAACTTGAGAATCAGAACAAGGCTCTGATCTCTGCTCCATTACCTACCAGCTGAATAACTTAAGGCAAGTTACCTCCTTAACGCTTTACACTTGTTTGTTTTACCCGTTAAAAAGACAATATTGATGGTACTTACCCTGAAGGATAAAAATGAAATAATATATATAAAACACGTAGAAAGTCTGGCACATTCTAACAATAAAAACTGGGTATTGTTACTATTAGTTAGCTAACTTGTTCATTCAGGTAAGTATTTTCAACCAATCTTTGGAAGCCTGAAATGAAAACTTTTTCTGTAGATACTGTTCCCTGTAAAATATGAGAAAAGATGGCATATTTTCAATGGCCTTTCAGTGTAAGAAGCTAGAATTACCTCATCGGTAACATACGGATTACCTGGAGAAGTTTCAAATCCCAGTTTTACTACAGCAAAATCCCTAATGCCTTAATCATTAAACTAATCACTTACCTTTACTCTAACATAAATTTGTTTCTTGTTTAATTTTCTTCATAAATAATGATCATCTAAGTTTAAAGATAAAAATATCAATGTCCAGGAAAGAATTTCAAAACTAGGTAAATGAAAGGTATTGTTTAGCAAACATGTTGTATTCTGTAAGAAAACAAGGATACTTTGTCACTAGTTCTGTGGCCGTGAACTAGGGGGAAAAAAGTGGTTACTAAATAATGCTCCAGTGGATTGTGATATGGGACAGATCACAAAATTGAGATTTAAACTGAAAAAGACCAAAGGAAGTGATGAAAATTAACTTAGACGGTCAGAAAGTAAAATTGAAAAAGCAAGGAAATGAAACTTACAAGAGGAAATACAAAACCACAGTATGAGGGAATACTCCTTTGGATATTAACATGGTGGTAACTGAGCTCCTAAGTGCTCTGTCGATAAGCGTAGCTGTCATTAATCTTTTGTGACAAGACACTTTGGAGTAACCAAATTGTGATAGTCCTAGGCCCTTTATTATCCTCAGGATGGAAGATGAATTCTATACACAGTAATTGTTGTATCGTGTTTCTCCACTGTAGTATGTTTTAACAGAAATGGCTTTCGAAAGCTGTCTTAATAAAAGTGATTTAGAAAAAAAAAAGTACTGAATTCCACTTATTTCTTTTTCAGTGTTCACTTAGATATATTTGGATTTGAACATTTTTTTAGAACGGCAGAGTTACTATGTCATTTAAAGCTGAAGTAAGAACTGAGAGGTTTGCATTTGGTCCAGGGTTTTCTAACAAAAGACACACCACCAATTGTGTAATTAGTGCTGTTTGCACATGTTCTGTAAATCTCAAATCTTATGACATTTAAGCATTTTGTGAGAGAGATTTTCAGAAAGAGGTTAAGATCAAAGTTAGACAAATCCAAATCTAAACTATTATCTCTTAGTGAAAAACCAGAAATTTATAGCAAACAGGTTTTCCTTAACAAAAAAGAGAGAAAGAGGGCCTTTTTATTTGCTACAATAATTATAGAAACTTGCAGAGAGATAAAAAATGGGAAAAAAATAACAAGACAGAAATCAGGCCCCCTACAATGTACCTCTCTCAGTAAAAGAAATTTATGGTTGGGCTGGGAGGGAAGGCTCTGCAGTTCCGTCAACTATATTTTATTTCTACTAGTTATTATATGGCCATGAACAAATTTCTTAACTTCTTTGAGTCTCTGTTACGATATCGGTTGAGCATAGATGATAACAGTACCTATTACTTAGGGTTGTTTTGAAAACTAAATATTTTAAGTAGAAATGCTTAAAAACTAGTGCCTGCAACACAGTAAACCCTCACTGAGGGTGGGCACTTGTAGTGGGTTGAACAGTGGCCCCTAAAAGATATGACCATGTCCTGAAACTTGCAAATGTGACCCTTTTTGAATAAAAGAGTCTCTGAAAATGTAATTATGGATCTCAAGATAAGATTATCCTGAATTAAGCAAGTAAGCTATAAATTAAAAAAAAAAAGTGTCTTTACAAAGACAGAAGATAAGCCAGACAGAAAGGAAGACAATATGAAGGTAGAGATTGGAGTGATGCAGCCACAAGCCAAGGAAAGCCAGGAGCTACAAGAAGCTATGAAAAGGCAATAAAGGATTCTTCCCTAGAACCTCAGAGGGAGTGTAGCTCTGCCAGCATCTTAGTTTCAGATGTCTAGTCTCCAGAACTTCAAAAGAATTAATTTACATTGTTTTAAGCCACCTAGTTTGTGGTAAATTGCTATAGCACCTCTAGGAAATTAATACAGAGCTATTTTTTAACAGCTTTATTGAAATATAGTTCAATCCCTACACTTCTTCCATTTAAATTATACAATTCAATGATTTTGGTTATATTATGTAATTAGGTTTCTTTATAATGTGGTGAAATACATATTAAAAAGCTTGTCATGTTTGCCATCTAAAAATATACAATTCAATGTCATTAATTACAGCACAATGTTGTACAACCATAACTCTTTCCTTATATTCCAAACTTTTCATCACCCAAACAGAAACTCCAAACCCATTAAATAATACTCTCCATTTCCCTCTCCTCCCAACCGCTAGTAGTCTCTAATCTACTTTCTATAACACAGAGCTTTTTACTATTCCAAGTTCTACTACTTTTACCATACCAACAACATTTGGAGCTGTGATAGCACTATCTCTGTTACTAGACAGGTGATTTTTACAAAATGTAATTTCTAGACAATGACCTAAAATTAAAATATTTGCCAATTCCCCAGTTGTGTGCTATAGGAGGTACCCATCCACCAAGCAACTGATTTGGACTTTGCAGCTGTGTAGCCCAATAAAGCCCACAGGGCTCTGAAAGTGATTATAGAAGAAGGGCTACATTCCTATTCACCTCAAATTTCTAAATCCTGATATATTCTTGCTTTATCAGTGGATTGAAACCTTTTCTCCTCCTGGGTATACTTGGTGGGCAATTTGGGTCTGTGGAAGTTTTCTCTACAATCCATAGACTGCTATATTGACAGTGGCAGAATTTCTAGTTCACTCTCCTCTTGATATAATAACAATTGTCTGAATTTTTTCCATTATCCCATTTTTGATTTTTTTCCTATTTGAAATATGGTTCTCTGGGGGAGATATTTTATAGATTTGTTCTACTGTCTGTTCTTTATTTATTTACTTATTCATTAATTCAACAAAAGTTAGAGGAAATGGCACACTATTCTAGGCACTATAAAGGAGGTAAGTATTTGCTTTTGCTTGGTCTATACTTGTATTTATCATCATCACTGCTGCTTACTAGGCTTTGAAGCATGTGCAAACTTTAGAAAGTTCTTTTTACTGGTTGTTTTAAAGATCATCATTCATAAGCCGGGTGCGGTGCCTCACACCTGTAATCCCAGCACTTTGGGAGGCCAAGGCGGGTGGATCACTTGAGGTCAGAAGTTCGAGACCAACCTGAAACCCTGCCTCTACTACAAATACAAAAATTAGCCAGGCATGCACCTGTAATCCCAGCTGCTCAGGAGGCTGATGCACAAGAATTGCTTGAACCTGGGAGGCGGGGGTTGCACTGAGCCAAAATTGCGCCACTGCATTCCAACCTGGGTGACAGAGTGAGAATCCATCTCAAAAAAAAAAAAAAAAAAAAGAAGAAGAAGAAGAAAAAGAAAAAGAAACAGGTAATCATTCATAATAATTGGGGATAGATCACAGGTCATCATATTTCAAACCATTATGCCAGAAATTTTTTCTGTTCCTTAGGTTAAAAAAAAAAAAAAGACCCTTTTTTGAGCCAAGATTTTTTTTTTTTTATGTTATAGTGATAATCATATCTGGATTTGGGTCCTAGTTCTGCTAATAGCAGATGGAGTTTAGGCAAGGTATTTAATCATGCTAGGTCTAATTTTTCTTATTCTTAACAAAGTATAATGCTTGAGCCTACATCTTAGAGTTTTGAGAATTAAATGACATGAATTGTTTAAAACTACTAGCACAGTATCTTGCACATGAGTGCTTAAGAAATGGTATCCCAAGTGATCAGGTTAAAAGGCCAGCAATCTAACACAAATATTAAGTAGTCTTTAGTTGCAGAAAGTTTCGTTTCTCTAGAAAATGTGTCCTATCATGTTTACAGGCATCTTCCTAGATATCTTTTTTTATTTTATATTTTAAAGATAAGATCTGTGGTTTGAGATTAGACCTAGATTGAATGACTCTTCTCCTCAGCGAAATATCACCCTCCTCATTCAATGATCCAATGAGCATTTATTTAACACTCACCATCTCCAGGGTGCTATGTTCTGTACTTTGTCCTAGAAATTCATGGCATAGTGGTATACAGACATGCAAGCCAATTATTTAAAAAAATAAAATAAAGGTTGCAATAGGAGGCTATGCTGGGCACTAAGGAAGTATTATGAAGCAGACAAAACTCCATCTTGCAAAGGCAGGAGAAGTGGCATTTAAGGTGAGTCTGGAATCATACATAAAAGGCAAGTAAAAATAACAGAAAGATAAGATTCAAGGTGCAAGAAAGGGCACAGCATAAATGAAAACTTCTATGTTCACTTTATGTAGAAGAACGAGAAACCCACGAGAGTGGGACAGGAGCTGAGATTGACAATAGCCAACTTAGAGCTAAGGACTTTGGCTCCTCTCTCAAAGATAATGGGGAGAAATTGTAAAGCTTCAAATAATTAGAAATCTTTATTTTATTTTTCATTTTTTTTGAGATGGAGTTTCACTCTTGTTGCCCAGGCTGGAGTGCAATGGCGTGATCTCGGCTTACTGCAACCTCCACCTCCCACGTTCAAGCGATTCTCCTGCCTCAGCCTCCAGAGTAGCTAGGATTACAGGCACATGCCACACCACATCTGGCTAATTTTTGTATTTTTAGTAGAGACGGGGTTTCACCATGTTGGCCAGGCTGGTCTCAAACTCTTGACCTCAGGTGATCCACCCGCCTCAGCCTCCCAAAGTGCTGGGATTACAGGCGTGAGCCACCGCGCCCAGCCATGATTAGAAATCTTAATCATATTTCCAACCTGTCTCCCCTTGTGTTTTCCACAACCACCTATTGAGCACCCATTTTGTGCAGCTGCTTTGCCAGAAGAAAAGCAGAGCCCAACCCTCAAGGCAATCACAGTCAAGGGAAGGGGCAGGCAGGTAAGTATGTGATCACACCTGGATACATTAAGTGCTGTTGCAGAGGGAAGTCGAAGGTATTTTGTGAGAACAGTAAAAAGGCATCTAAGCAAGTCTTGGCAAGGTCAGAGGAAGAGCTCCAGAAGAAGTGTTTTCTAAACTAAGCCTTGAAAGATCAACATAGTAAAATGCTAAGGAATTGTGGGTGGAAGAGTGCACTAGGCAGAGAAAGTGGCATATAGAAACCTATTGTACCAAGGCAGAGAGAACACATGTGGAATGCAGAACACCAAAAGGTGTTCAGTATGACAAGGACTTACAGTGGAAAGTGGGAAATAGTAAGATACTTGGCTGCAGAGAGAGAAAGAAAGAGAGAATCATTATGTGAAGGGCTCATTAAAACATGTTTTGGAGTTTAGACTTTATTTTGAAGGTAATGGGTATCTAAAAAGGGTCTGTGCAGAGAAGCAGCATAATCCTACTTGCATCTTAGGAAGATCACTCTAGCTACATATATATATAGAGAGAAGTGCTTGAGGGGTAAAACAAAAGATAAAGAAATCAGTTCCACTTTGTAGAAGCCTGCTGCAATCATCCTGGTAAAGGTTGAGTATCTTAATTATGATAGTGGTAGTGGGTATAGCTTGGAGAGATATTTAGGAAGTAGAAGGAACTGGACTTGGTAATGTGAGAAGTGAAGAACAAGGAGTTAAGGATAATGCCAAGATTTTTGGTTTGGCAAGCCCAGTGGTTGACTATGTTTTCATTCGGTGATGAATTCAGAAGAAAGAGCTCTGCTTTGGAAGAAAATGATGAATTCAGTTGTGAATGTGTTAAGCTGAAAGGAACGTTCCCACAGAATACTTTAACAGAGACAGATACTTATGAGAGAGTTGATATTCAATATAGACAGAAAATATAGATTTGGGATTTACTAAAAAGGGGTGGTCACAGAAGCCTTTGGAGTATTGGAAATTGCCCAAGATTGAGGAAATAGAATGAAAGGAAATAAGGAATGAAGATGGAGCTTGAATTCATCAATTTCAATTTCAGCGTTTATGAAATTGACAACCATAGGAACATATTAAAAGTCCTGGCAGGAGCAGGGAGGGAGGTAAGAAGATAAGTGAAAGAAAGTATTATTCCATGAACCAAGGAAGGAGTAATAGGAAGAGAAAGAAGTCAATCCTGTCATGAGCTATAGAGAGTCAAAAATAAGGACTAAAAAATTTCACTTTACATAGATAACTATAGGCGTATATGACTGAGAGCCAAGAAAATATTGAGAATAAAGGTCAGAAATCAGTTATCAAACTGAGGCACATGTCCAAGCAAGAGGTGATGAGACCCAGGCTAGTTCAAAAGAATGGGGTATTGGCAGAAGACAGGTTTACACATGTTAGGGGATACAGATTACAAGGCTTTGCGATAAGGAGTGAGGGAAGAAACAGAGTCATGGAGAAGAGAGACGGTTAATTTAATCAGGGGTTCATTGAATTTGAGAACCATTGAGATTTCTAAGTAAAGCAATGTACAACTATTATGTATCAATTAAAACAAAAAAAGTATCTTCAGTTCATAACAGAAGTCAGGAAAAGAGAATCACCAGTTATCCCTGTGGGTGAGGAGTGACTGCAGACTGAGAAGGCGAGAGACTGGGAGAGGATCCTGAGAACATTGTCCTATAAGGGAAGAGAAGGAACACCTAGAGGGGCACTCACTAAGATGGAAGAAGAACTTTAAAAATTAAGTGAAATAAGAAAATATACAGTCTCCAGTGCTGCAGAAAGCTTCAGTTCCATAAATTAGGTCTCCTGGACTGACTCAGTTCTTATTCCACTAGTGTGATGTTACTAAGAATTAATGCCCCTGTAAATACTCTGGATGTAGAGTAACAAATTAATAGATCCTTTATTAAAAAGGTGTATACAAATGTCAATATGGAAGAGAAACAAGTTAGTATCTCTGACAGAATTCAGGTTTTGGTTTTGATACAGTTCAGCCTCAGAGAATGATTTTTTTAAATGACACATTGAATAAAACGTAAGAGTAGCCAATTGATAGACAAAGTGAATAGATGTACCTTGTAAGGTTGTATTAGTCATTTTGCATTTCTATAAAGAAATACCTGAGACTGGGTGATTTATAAAGAAAAGAGGTTTATTTGGCCCATGATTCTGCAGGCTGTACAAGCATAGTACCAACATTTCCTTGGGTTCTGGTGAGGCCTCAGGAAGCTTTTACTTATGACAGAGGTGAAGGGGAAACAGGTGGGTCACATGGCAAGAGAGTGAGCAAGACAGATGCCAGGTTTGTAAAACACCAGCTCTCACATGAACTAATAGAGTGAGAACTCATTCATTGCCATGGAGAGGGCACAAATCATTCAGGAGGGATCCTCCCCCATAACCCTAACGCCTCCTACCAGGCCCCACCTCCAATAATGGCGATCACATTTCAACAAGAGATTTGGAGGGGACAAGTATCGAAACCATATCAAAGGTAAGAAAAACATTCTCTTAACAATTTGAAGGGAGCACAATATGAAATGTTATGTGACCAGTCTCTACTTCCCCATGGATTTTGTCTCAACTGTTTGTTGAAGCCACATTATAGTTAGACAAGATGTTGACATCTAGCATCCCTTAAGACTATTATATATGTATGTATGCCCCAAAATACATATATTAAAAATACCACTTAATCTAGAAAAAAATATTTTAATGATAATCAGCAACATATTCCAGCTGAATAAAATTTCAAAATAGATACTCTGGAGGAAGTGAAAATGCTTAAACAACTATGAATGAGAAGGAAGAATTAGATACTGAAAACCATGTAAATAGAGCAGGAAAAAGCTCAGAAACTCATCCAAACTTACAGGCATTTTAACCCACATTAGCAAAATACTTTGGTAGAACCAAACTCTCTTAAATTGCAAAATGATTATATTAATGAATAAATACATTAACCATAATATAGGCCTATGTTCTTCCATGCACAAGTAGCTTTCCCTCATATGTTTGCTAATTTGAATGTTTTCATATATAATTAAATTGGTAGCTCTAATAAGATAAATGCTACATACTAAATGCTAGGTTGATCACTAAATACAAATTATCTTGATGTACAATGACTGCAGTGAGAATTATAAATATCTCAATGCACTAGATATAGCCCCTAGAATAACACCAGAGTAACACTACTCCCCCATGCTGGCCCTCCCCACCCCAAACTTCTGTGCTGTTTTATACTGAAAAACTGAGGGGGGTTCGGTGTTCAGAAAGTCTTCACATTAAGAATTCACACAGCCTGAAATTACTTGTTGTCCAGATCCAACAGTCTTGCTGCCTATAATAAGTCCACAAATGGAATTTACAGGCAACAGAAATAGTTATAGAACATCGCGTCCTTTTAAACTAAAGTTCTGAACCACTGGCTAGCTTAGTGGCCAGAAAAGTTATATTTTGGCTCCAGACCATTGACAAATGCCTCCTACGGATTCCATAATAAAAACAGAACCTCTAACCTTGACAGTAAACTGCAGGGGTTCGTTTTGCCACATTCTGATCTAATAGAGTAGCCAAGACTTCATATCTATTAACATCCATATTATCATTTTAATACACTACTTTATCTTTCCAGGACAGTGCATAGAGTGCAGCAAAAACCATATTTTACAAGCCAATTTTAAATGCCTTTTAATGATGATTCACGGTGCTCTAATACAGATTTCTCATCAATATCACCATCCTGCAGGCATGCATTAAAGCTGCAAATCATTCCTTGGGTTCTGTTATTGTCAGACTCCAAATGTACTGCAAATGTAACTCAGATGTCTGAATTAAGTATTTCCCTTGGATGCAATGGGCACATCCTGATTTCTGCAAAATGGAAGGAATGCCCATTATGCCAGAGACAGATTTGAGTGTCCTTGACTGGAAGACATAACTGAGCCTCTCTCTACCCAAGAACGAAGAAGAACAGGCAGACACTTCTTCAGTACAGAGCGCCGCCCTCCTGCCCCACAAGATAACCATGAGTTGAACATCTGTCTAGGTTTCCACAATTTGCAAATTGTTTGATTATTTAAGTCTGTTTTTCTCTAGTAAGTGTTAATCAGCATTCCTGCTGGTGGTCCTTAGGGTTGTTACCATGGAACTTATAAATGAATTTAAAGATGTTGCTGAGATAAAGAGGGACACCTGTGGATGAGTTCGTTCCATTGTCATTAGCATAAACCCTTACAGGCCAATTCCGGCAAAATCCTGTTAAACTGCTGGAAATAGAAATGTATGATACAAAACATGGTGGGAAGGCTTAAATTGTTCAGGGTCTTTAGCATATTTTCACATTGGTATTAAGAATTTTAGAAATAATTTAATCACTGCCTGATTATAGCAATGTTGGGAGTAATGAAATCCTTGCCTTATTACATATGGACTCATTCAGAGCCTCATTATTTGTTTGGCAAGCATTAAGCATCAAATCAATTTAGTCAGATACTTGTAAATGGGAAATTCAAGATGAAAGTGAAAATGAAGATTAAGAGGTAAAATTAAAACTATTTATTTCTAGCAGGAATAGAGCAATTTTCCTTGCAAGAGACCCATCCCAAGAGAGTTTAAATAGGAAGAAGGGCAAATGGTAGAATCCATCCCGAAGAAGAGAATTTAAAATGAAGAACAGTCAGCAAAGTACCCCCTACTCACATTTGCCTGGAACAAATGACATCGGAAGAAGAGGGTGATAACTTTGATTTGTAGCTGTGGAATATACGTTGTGCTTTTATGCAACTGATTATTATTGGAATGGTTTCCATTTCCAGCTCAACAGAAATGGGAAGAAGGGAAGTACATGCTGATCACTTGGGAATTTGTAGTTTCAGTTTACATATGAAGATGTACTGACATTAATAGGATGCAATAAATGTATTGTGTGGTATTTTGGTTTTGGACTTAAAGTAGTGGTCACATGAATGGCTACATATTTTCACATTGCAATGTGTATGGAAAAATATCCATACTAAACTGAAGATGGAGATGACGTCATCATAAGCAGCTATTTGGCTGTTGCATGTCAGAACATTTTCTAATGCATTGATCCATAATAATTACTGGATTGGGATGCAGGAAGCCGATCAAGCTCATTGTGTAATGGGGAATAATTGGCAATAAAATCATAAGAAGGCCTTAAGGAGAAAATAACTTCTTCCTTTGGGACGTAGAGATAAGTGGAAGTAATGTCAGGTCTATTTTAGGGGAGTATTTGGATGTGTTACCCTGGCTCTGACACACCAGATAGCAATACCTATGACAGCATAGAGAACCAGAAGCAGATGGGAGAAGAAGTTGGACTTAATTCTAGTCTTTCAGGCTAAGGCAAGAAGATAAACATTTAGACTGAATGTTGGAAGCATTTTGTGTTTCTCACTAATCAGGGTATTAACTACAGGAAGCAAAATTCATGTTTATTACCGAAAGGGACACTGTTTAGCCCAGCAACAGGAAGAATATGTATTTTGTATTATGAAATTGGAGCAATAACAACAACAAAAAACCAAGACAATGGAAATTGACTATTCTTATTGCATCCGGCACTGGGTTAGAAGTTTTCCATATAATATTTCATATGAAGAAGATTCAAATTTAATAAAGAGAAAACAGATTTAGGCAGATTATGTCACTGCTTCAGGTCATAATGTTGGATATAATTGGCCTGGATTTAAAACCAGCTGTCTGATTCTAAAGCCTAGGCTTTTTAAAAATTGCAATCTTGGTTTACCCTGTGTAAACCATCAGGTAAAAACAACTCCCATTCTGGCTTTCTCTGGGATTCTGTCAGCCAGCTGGAGAGGCTGATGGAGAAGACCTGAGGTCAAACAGCTTCTGCGAAGTGACCCCAAATTCAATAAACAGTCATTTAATCTGCTGAAGTGGTGAAAGTGACTTTAGTTTCAGTCAGTAGTGGATCAATTCATCCCCATTGGAATTTATTTCCATGCTTAGATTTTACTAGTCAGCTCACTAGAGAGTCAAGAGGAGGGTTAAAGGAAGAAATCCTTTAAAAAAATCTACTTTATTTCACTTGGGCTTGCTTGAAGTTCTTTCGCAAAAAGAGACAATATTAATGCAAAGAGAGGGAATCTAACATGCCCCTTTGCTCTGATAATTACTGGGTAATTCCGCTACCTATTGCCAATCCCTGCACTATTTTCAGGCAAAGACCTGTTGATTTTTTAACAAATTCATTATTACTGAGTTGCATTATTTTCTCTATGTTATCAAGTTTTGCTCTGTTTACATCCTGACTAATAACATAAAGCTGCCAAAGTGTAATCAAACATATATTGTAGCTAATGTTTTGGAAATGCTCTTTGCCTCTTTGTAGGCACCAACTCTTATTCTAAAGGATCTTTGTGAGTAATTATTTCACTCTTGGAAAATTTACTGTTCCTTTAAAAAAATGTAACACTCATGTTTCATGAATTCACAATTGCCCATGTGATTAAGATTAAAATAGTTTTGCTACTCTGATAAAGGTTTGTTGTCCTTTGTGGTCATCATAACCAAGCCAATTAAAAAAAAAGGGGGGGGTTCTTTACAAATAAGAGACATCTTATTGTTAATGTCACTGAGATCTTCTTAGCAAAAAAGGAAGCCGTGTTGCAGATATATTGGAGAAGAAAGACGGAATGTAGTATCTCTCCAAATATTATATCAAGAGGAACACATACGACAAAAAACATTATAAAACACAGAGGTTAAAATGAAAGTCAAACATTTTAAGTCCAGGAAACCTTAAAGTAAAGAGACTTTAAAAAGGCTCACCAATACCAGTTACAGATTCATATTTAGGTTTGTATTGTAAAAATTGGAAAGCGCTAGAAATTTTGCAATATTTCAGTATTAATACTTATTAAGAACTGTTAAGGAATTAAATGCACGTGGAATCGATGTAGTGAGGAAGGAGAAGATGTGCTGACAGAAATAATTTTGACTAGTTAAATAAAGAGAAGACAATAAGGAGGAGGTTACACTGAGGTAGGCAAAAAGGGGATTACAAGCCTATAAATATTTGTGTAGAATGAGCTGCTACAGCAGAATGAGAGAACAAAGGAAACATACAGCAGATACTCTGTTGATCACCAAGAATTTGAGAAGAAATGAGAAGGTCTAACATTTTCATTCTTAAAATATGTTGCTTTCTTAGGGGAATGATTTATTTTCTCTTCATTTTGAAAGATTTTACTAAGTCATCTTGCTAACAAATGAAAACAGTTCATGCAGAACTAACTCTCATTTATTGAGGGGTGGAGGATCCATTTATGGGCAACGTGGTTACATTTTCTGCCATAGAAATGAATTCCATGTGGCTCACCGCCCCATTCCATCTACTCAGCTCTTAAGTGACACAACATGCTACAGCTGCAGAACAACCAGATAGGTAGATAGATAGATAGATAACCATCACATGTCTATACTTCTGGGTTACTCATACAATGGAGGGGAAACATAAGAATAACAAAATATTACTGATGATTTATGTCAATATACCATATCCACGTAAACAGTTGCAGCATTTTAGAAGACTGTGTCAACACCGACTTCAGAGTGTCGTGTCATTTGCATATTTATGCAACCTAGTAGGGGATGTATAAAACTAAGCCTTGGCACCTCCCTGGCTACATTCATTTGAAACTGAATAAATCTCATCAATGTAAAGCATGATACAGTTTCTCACATCCTAAAATATCTACTCTCTGGACTCCTCTAGCTACCATCACATTTCTCTATTCTACTTTGCAGAAAGCCTTCTTAAATTCTCTGGCTCCAATTCCTTTCTGGAATTCTTATTTTTCCACTTTACGATTATGAAATAAAATGTATATATATAAAAGTGCACAAATAATAAATTTAAAACTTAGCCAATTGTTGTAAACATGAAACATCCCTCTAAACATTCCCTGGGTTAGGAAAATAGCCCCTGTAGCCCAGAATCCCTTATATACCCTTTGATTGTAATGATTTCCCTCCCACCTATAATCAATATCTTGATTTTGTGCTCTTTATCTCCTTGTCTTTTAGAAAGTAGTCTATATAATTATGTTTGCTTATACAATCTATTTTAACTTTTCCTGCTTTTGAATGTTAAAATATATTGACATTCAAAATATATAATGCTCACAGTTATATTTTTAAGATCTACACAATGCCTTTGCAGGTAGCTATAGTTCCTTCATTTCTGTTCATATTTTATTATTCAAACATATCACAAGTTTTATAGTTGTTTACTATAGCTAAATCTTTGGGTTATGCACAGGGGTTGGCCATTACAAATGATAATACACCAAATTGTTTCCCAAAGTACCAATCGATTCTATTTCAAGTAGTATGTGAGTGTTCCTATTGTTCTACATTCTCATCACACTTGGTGCTGTCAGATTTCTTTTTCCTTTAACCAATCAGGTAGGCATGTGGTGGTATTATAATGATATTTTAATTTCCTGTCTGATTAATTTACTGATTAATAAGACAGCATCTTTCATATGTTTGTTGCCTATTTTGATATTTACGTTTGTGAAGGGTCTCTTAAATTTCTTCCAATTAAAAAAAATGGTTTATTTTTCTATCTTATTGTTTTCTAAAATTTCTTTCATTTATTATAAACATGAGTTATTTGTCAGTTAAATAGGGTTTATTCTAATTTGGTTCAAGATTGGGCATCTGGTTAGGACCTCAGGCTATTCCCTTCCCTCATGATGGAAGGGGAGATGATGTGTGCAGAAGTCACATGGTGAAAGAGGAAGCAAGAGAAAGAGAGAAGGGGGGTGTCAGGCTCTTTCTAACAACCAGCTCTCAGGAAATAATACAGTGAGAACTCACTCACCCCCCACTCCCAGAGAGATCCTTAGTCTATTCCTGAGTGATCTGCCCCTTCCCCTTCCCTTTAGGCCCCACCTCCCAACTCCACCACACTGGAGATCAAATTTCCAATGTGAGAATTGGTTGGCTGAAACAAACCAAACGATAGCATGTGTATATGTATATGTGTACACGATCAGAAAACTTGAAAACTGATTTGAGGAATTATTTTTAATTATTGCTTGTCTTTGTCTAATAATGTAGTTGTTTGTGTATGTTTGTCATGCATATATACTTTGCATATTTTATATTTATACATACAGTACATGTACAGAGACACATATGCATATGTATGCTCTTCTATGAGTCAGAATCCAAATTAAGTCTACACATTATAATTAGTTGATTTATTTGAAATGTCTTTATTTTTAACATTTAATGTTTCATTTTTACAGCAAAGTTGCCAAGATATTACAGAATTTCCTGTTTTCTCATGCTGTTTACCCTATTATTAACACCTTCATTACTATGGTACTTTTGTCAAAACTCATGAACAAATCTAGAATTATCTAAAGTTTTTTTTTTCAGATATCTTTACTTTTTACCCAAAAGCCTTTTTCTTCTCCAAAATCCCATCTAGAATACCAATTATTATTATTACTAATATTATTATTACTACCACATAATTCAAGCATCATGTCACCTTAGGATTCTCTAGAATTTCCCAGATGAAATTTTCTTTTTTGTGATGATCTTACCAGTTTTGATAAATACTGGTCAGGTATTTCGTAGGACAGTTCTTCCATTGAGGTTTCTCTAATGTTTTTCTCATGGTTAGACAGGAATATGGGTTTGGGAGCAGACTTACAGAGGTAAAGCTTCTTTCTCATCATATTATATCAAGGATACACGCTGTCAACATGACTTAACAATTTTGAGGTTAACCTTTATCAACTAGCTGAGTTAGTAATTGTCAGGTTTTTCAACTATAAAATTCTTCTTTTCTGGGCCTTCCATGCTATATTTCTTTGAAAAAAATTCAGTTTGTGCATCTAGCACTTAAAAAGTAGGGACTTATATTCCACTTCCTCAAGGGCAGGTATCCATGTAAATTATTTGTCATTCTTCTGCATGGACTTCCCTACTCTTTCCCATTTACTTATTTATTCAATCACTCAGTTATGTCAATATTAACTCATGAACATTTATTTTACACTTAGGGTTATAACCTAATACTATATTATTTATTTAGATTCTGTTCAAATTATTCCAGTTTTGGCCATTAGGAGCTCTTCTAGTTGGTTCCTGTATCCCTTTGACATGGTTACATCATTTTGGTTTTTAAGCATTTCCTACTTTCTGGCTCCACAGCATGCCCCATGTTTTATCTTGAATATCCACTCCCCTGGACCTAAAATCAACCATTTCTCCAAGGAGTGTTGGTCCCTTTCATTGAGGAATGGTTTTAGAAACTAAGATCTGGAAGTTGGCTGTGTTTATTATAAATGGGATGCTGTTGTTTCTAGGCTCTCTCAACAGACAGAGTTAGAAAACAAATAGAATAGTGATAATCCATGCCATCACACACAGGAAATGCAATGAATATAACAACTACTAGAATTGTTCAGTCCTGCTAAGATACGTAATCAGGTTTTTGCAACGTTTAAAAAAATCCATCCATCCATCCATTCATCCATCCACCCACCCATCCATCCATCCATCTATCTATCCATCCATACTTTCAGATGTACTAAGGCACTAACCCTTAACCTTAAGGAACTAAGAATATGGCTGCAGCAGAAAGGCAGAGAAGTAAACAGCTGCTTTCAGGTAAATGAGGTAAGTTTTTAATACTTCAATGGAACATAAGAGAGAGTTAAGAAACAGACCCACAAATAGATAACATACATTTCCAAGAAGTACTGCAAATGAATTGAATGGGGAAAGGATAATGTCTTTAACAAATTTTGCTAGAACAACTTTTGCTAGAACAACTGAATATTTATATATAAAATATTATTAATCTTTATTTAACATCATATCCAAAAATTAACTCAAAATGGATTGTAGACCTAAATGTAATCTCTAATACTATAGAAAATATAGACCTTTGTGACTTTGGTTTACAATTTAAGATTTTTAAAAGTATGATGGAAAAAAATTGATAAGTGAGACTTCATCAAAATGAAAAAATTTGCTTTTCTAAACATGCTTTTAATAAATTGAAAAGGCAAGCCACATACTGAGAGGAAATATTGGCAAAATATATATATCTCACACAGGATTGGATGTGGAAAAAATGTATATCTTTACTAAAGAACTTCTGTCTTGGCTATATAAAGAACTTTTACAACATAATTGTAAGGTAACAAACAATTTGATTTTAAAATTGGGAAAAAATCATTACACTTTTCTCCAAAAAAAGATGTAAAACACATAAGCATATGAAAAGGTACTCAATCAACATCATTAGTTCAGGGAAATTCAAATTCAAGCCACAAGAATGTATAAATATTACTTCATACTGACTAGGAATGGCTAAAATTAATAACATTGACATTAGCGAGTGTTGGAGATGATGGAAAACAATGGGAACTCAAATATAATGCTGGCAGTGATGCAAAATGGTAAGCCATTTTATAAACAAGTAGTTTCTTGTAAAGTAAATCATATGCTTCCCATGTGATAACATGTCTGCCCAAAGATCTGTATTCACTCTCTTCAGCTGCTATGAATAGAACGGTTCATAGCAGCTCTATTCATGATACCCTTAAATTGGAAGCAGAACAAATGGTCTATCAATGGATGAATGTATAAACAAATTGTGACATATCCATACAATTAGAAACTATTGAGCAATGGAAGGAAACAAACTACTGGTATATATAAGAATATGAATAAACTCTTACGTGTAATATTAAGTAAAAGAATACAGGCACAAATGTATATGACAGATGATAGATAGTATCATTCCATTTGTATAAAATGGAATATAAATAAATAGAATTCATTATGTATTAAATATAGTTATATATTTTTATATAATATAATTGGTATGAAATTTTTAAAAGGTATAGTGATAGAAAAAAGGTATGTGGTTGCCAGGATGAGGATGGGAGTAGGGTATTTTATTGCAAAGGTGTAGACCTTCAGGATGATGGAAAGTTTGTATCTCATATTTGTGTTGTGGTTACATGACTGCATTCATTTGTCAAAATGCATCAGATTCGTCAATATTATTGTATGCAAATTATACTTTAATAAATTGTGCATCAATAAATATTTTTAATGAGTATTCCTTGGCCTATGCATAAGGGACTTTGTCTAATGTCATGGGTAGGCTGGTGAGCAAATAATTATAATACCATGTTATCAGTGCTATGTCAAAATATGTACATATACTATTCATTCAGCTGGCTGCTCTGAGACTGGGACTATACTAACCACTGCAATGAAAACTATTCTTACAGAATTTGAGGTCTGGGCAGGAAATAACTAATTCTATCTAAGATATAGGAAAAGATTTCATAGAGGTGATTTCAGAGTAGCGTCTTAATAAAGAAGGTCATGACAAAGAGAGAATATTATGTGCAAAAGTACGGGGACTATTACATTTTGTGGAATGTCGTTAACATTGAAGTTAGCTTTGTGTGGCTTTTCCTAATCAGTGAAAGCATATTCTCTGTGAAATCCCAAAATGTTGAATTTATGTATGTTATCTATCTGATAATATGATACAATCTCAAAGTTTGTGTTTTCTGGTTTTGGACTCATCTGAATCCCTATTAAAATGCTAGGGAAAAATCGTCAAATTTAGGTCTTATAATGAAATAATAGATGCTTTCCAAAAGGTAAAATGTGCCAGTAGTAAGGTGCTTATAATTTATTTTCTAAGCATTATCATTCAGATAAGCTAAAAAGGCCCAATGGCCAGAGACTGCCATTAACTTCTATCAACACAAAGATCTTATCTGTTTTGAACACACTGTATACTGCAGTGTCTGAGATCTGGAAAATGTCCAATAGCTATTTTTGTTGTTGAATGAATACAAAATCATGTTCTGATAACTTATTTGACTCACTGACTGTCTCACCATAGCCAAGAATGGCATCTGTAGATTGTTGGCCCCAATCATCGTGGGTTTTTTTTTCCTGGAAATTCCCACTTTAACCTTCTAGCCAATGAATTTGAATAAATACATTAATATCCTAATGGTGTATGAAACTCATGACCAAGCAGAGTTTAGATCATAGGTGAGAATCACAGAAATATTTATACATTTAAAACATCTGAATTTTCTTGCTGTCTAACTAAGCACTTCCTATAGTCTCTGGTTCCTCACGTATCTGGATGGTTATCATAAATCTGTATCTGTCTTGTAGCCTAGTTTGTGATATCCTCAGAGACGTGTTGAACTGAACTGGCAAACCATGGACACTTACCCTGCAACCTGCCTGCAAATGCTGTTA
This sequence comes from Homo sapiens, assembly GCF_000001405.40. Classification (NCBI taxonomy): domain Eukaryota; kingdom Metazoa; phylum Chordata; class Mammalia; order Primates; family Hominidae; genus Homo; species Homo sapiens. The sequence goes on along the minus strand of NC_000005.10, from coordinate 164,052,865 downwards.
GAATAGTTAAATAACTTGAAATCCAACTGAATGACAGTAATGTTTATTTCAACACTTTCCAATTCAACAAAAAGGCAAACAAAGCAGACCTCCTAGCTTGTTTCATCACAAGAAAATGAAATGGGGTTCAACATAATTGCATGAGAAATGATGGGTTGGATTTGCTGGTAATTCAAGAGCTAGTGAGTCAGTTCAGCTCATTTCTGGCATTTTGACACAGGCTTTTCTATCTGTGTTTATTCTTTTTTCCTCTCACATTGTATGAGTGGAGAATCCCTTTCCTTTCCGAATTGAAAGAAACACAATTACAAATTATAAATCACCTTTACCTTACTTTCACTTGGTGTTGCTGACCAATAAATTACAACAGCAATACATTTATCTATTATTGTTAAGGGAGAGAGAAACCCAGACACCTAGATTTAACCATAGGTTTTCTGAAAAATGTCTTGTAAAGTCAGCTTAAGGAGAGTATGTTAGCTTTAAATTAGTTTTCAATTAGTTCAAAAACAGGAACATGAATAACCAAAGTAAAACTTCCTTTGGAACTAGCAAAAGAAGATACTTATTTTACAATGTTAAAAAGTATCTTTGTGGGTAAAGCTTTGAACCACAAGCTAGGAGGTCTGCTCTGTTTGCCTTGCTAGGCCATTATTTCACCTTGAAAATTTGAATAAGACCCTTGAATAATGTGTATCTCATTTTCCTTATCTGTTGAATAGCAATAATACTTTACATACCACTACAAAGTTTTCTCTGAAAATCGTCTCACAATATATGAGAAAATACTTAAGAAAGTATTATGCAATGTACAAATATTTGTTATCACATAGACTCTTCTGTGTACACATAGTATTGTGTTAAATCCTATAGAGAATTTACTCAGGAAGACAGAATCATCAGGGCTAGTCATCCCTGATTGGTTTTTAAGTAACCACTTAAAAATTCTGTTATGACCTTTCAAAGAGCAAAGAAAGGCTCACATATTTTTGGCTTCTCTAGATGCTGAGTAATTCAGGGTCTGAAGAGAGGAAAAGCCAGTTGAATTTGTTAAGTGCTTTCATTGAGATGAACAAGGTAAATAACACAAGATATAAATATTGAATATTGACTATAATACTATCCCTTGCCCTCAGAGTTGAGAGTTTAGTTAACATAAGTGTAGACAAATTATAATTTGATCTTCCCCCAAAATATCCTCCAAATGCAAATTGTTAAATTCAAAATTCCCCAGTCTCCATGTCCTCCTATCCTCTGTGTTTCACTCTTCAACTATAGCAATTATTCATGTCCTTATTCTGACACCACTGAGCTCTACTGTGTCTTCGACCCCTTTACTTCTCCTTCTCTCTGACAACTTCACCCAACATATTTATCTTTCTTCCCTATCCATCTGTCTTAGTCCATTGTGTGTTGTTATAAAGTAATACCCAAGACTGGGTAATTTATAAAAAAAATATATATATATATATATATTTGGCTCATGTTTCTGCTAGCCATAATATTAAGCATCTGGTGAAATCCGCAAGCTCTTCCACTCATGGCAGAAGGTGAAGGACAGCTGGTGTGGACACAAATTACATAGTGAGAGAGGAAGAAAGTGAGCAAGAGAGAGGGAGAAGTGAGGCGGAGGGTGGGGTAGGGAGGGCAGCCTCTTTTTAACAAATAGAAGAGATATGTATGTGTTTACTCTTTGTTACCTCTTTCCTCTTCCTGATTTCTCAAAAAAAAAAAAAGTCACAATCACAGATTGATCAATTCCATTCAATAAACGTTGTTGGAATTTGAATCTGTCCAGTTATCTCAAGCCCCATTTCTACTTCTCTAATTCCATCAATCATTCATTAAAGAAAGTTCTTTTGAATACCCACTCCATGCCAGGCACTGTGCTATAAGCTCTGGAAAAACACTGATGATCAAGCTACATATCTGAGCTTTCATGGAACCTCTATAACCTTTCCTGAATTAATGCTATAGCCTCACAATTTGTCCATTTTCTCCAAATATGTTGGCTTCCAAATTATTTTTTATATTGTAGTCAGAAATTTTTTTTTCTAAAATGAAATTTTAGCTATGATACTCCTCAGCCATGATACTCCTAAGTGGATCTTTATTGCTCTTAGGATAAAGCCTAGGCTTCTTAACATAGCCTACAAGACCCAACATGACATAGCCCCAACTTGTATTTCTGGACTTAGGATTCCAATACTCCCCCTAAATTTTGTCTTTTATCTTGAACAGTATGATCCAGCCACATTTTCAATTTCTGTAAGCCACAATGCTATTTCCCACTTAGCACACTACTTTCTCTACATGAAACACTTACTCTCCTCTTAATCTGGTTGCTCACTTTTTCTAAGGAGCAAGGCAAACCCTATCCACTCACTAAATCTGTGCTCCATTCTCTTCTTCAATGCTCTTCATGGCATCTTCTAGGATGTTATGCTGATATTTAAAACGTAGTTTTGATTTAGCTTTTTTCCTTATACTATCAAATCATTCTAATATAAAACCCTTGTACATGGTGGCATTGTACATATCACTGTAAACAGATAGTATACCTACTTTTAGGGAAATAAGTCTCAATGAATGTTATGCAAGTTTACCTGTGAAAATTTTAAAAGTATAAATGTTTATACAAAGGCCTAACCCCAGATGTACAAAATCATAATTCTAGGGTATAACACAGTTATAAGTTTTTTTTAAGTCCTCAAGGTATTCTGATACTCAGTTACGTTAAGAAAAACTACACACACACACACAAACACACACACACACAGAGAGAGAGAGAGAGAGAAGGAGAAAGAGAGAGAGAAGATGGAAAAAAAGAAGATGAACACTGCACTGGATCAGTAATTTTTAAAGTGTGACGTGGTCCCTGGACCTCCAGCAACAGCATAAATTACATACTTGTAAAAAACACAATTCTTGGATCATGCCCGACATATACTGAATCAGAAACCCCCTAGGAGGTGGGGCCTATCAGTCTGTATTTTCAAGAGCCCTCAACGTGTTTTTGATATAATGTTAGAAGACCACTGCCTTAGACCAACCTTATGATTAGGATAATATATGCCACCCTAAACTATACATGCAGAGCATAATAGGGTAGTTGATTATAGCGGACTTTCCCTTTGAGACTAAGCATGGTTTCAGAATCCTTCTCAACATAGAGATCCAGGAAACCACTGACAATCAGAGTTATAACCTTAGTTGAAATCTACCTTTGATTTCTTTATGATCATTTCATAGAGGATTCATGTTGCTTCTTATTACACAGAAAATTGATTAAGACACAGGATTCAACAACGGGAAAGAAGGATTGAGCATGAAGACAAGAACTTTCTGATGTTCTTGAGGAAGGAAAGAACAAAAGGAATAATGTGAAGGAAAGTATCTCTAAATGCAGGGAACATTGGAGACAACAGTGGAGAGAAACTACATAAAGAGGAAATATAACAGGTCATTATAGGCAGAACGGACTAGAGTTGAGAATGCACAGAGTTTTTAGCTATCATACATTTTAAAGCCAATCAAATTAATTTATACTTGCACATAGTATTGAGTCCTGTAACTCAGAGCCTAATGCTTGAATTTGATATAGAGTATAATAATGGCAGGAATTTTCCTAACTGATCAGTCTCATTCAATGAGAAACAAGAGGTAAATAAATATTTTCAAATTGATTAAACGTACAGCAGTATTTCCAAATAGGCTAAATTTTAAGAATGTAAGATAATTTTGAGAATTTCTGAGTTTCAAAAGATACTATAATGGGCTTAGTACAATTAATGCCTAAGCCTTTCAGATTCATTTATTTTATTTTTATTAAGAAGTCATTTTATTTTACAAATGAAATTACCTCTGAGCTACTAATGCTTCCCTTCTTTGAAAGGAACAGGAAATATTATAGGAATATCCACAGTTTTTATTTATCCAAACCATTAGAGGTTTGAAGCCTCAAAAGGTCCAGAATCATGTATAAATAGGAATAACCAGAGTGTTTGAAATGTATTTATAATGGCCCCATTTAATAATATCTCTCATACTTTCCATTATTTTACAATATTTTGAAAGCCTAAATAGTCTTATTTGAATGTATGTTTCCATGCTGAAATTTGTGTAACTTTGCTGTCACCAACAGGCTACTGTGTGAATTAAATGTTTTCATCTCACTATGTTTTCATTGTATCTAACAGTTAAAAATCGAGGAATATGCTACACTGTTATTTTTCTTAAACTTGAGATGTTCTGTAGAGCACAATTAAGCATTAACATATTACATCTGGGGAGGTGATTATTATTTTTTCATTTGCCTGAAGAGGCTAGTGTGGACATATATCAGCCAAAGAGCCATTTTTATTTTTTTCTCTAGCAGCAGATTTATTTCTCCATTAAATGTAGAAAGATCATCAATATCCACTACATAGCTTCAATTAACTGAACATTTTGTCAACCACTGCTATTCTCCAGCTGCCGGATATACCATATGAGAGAATAGAGAACCTGTCCTGATTTCTCATCTTCCTTCTCAATTTAACAAAAGAAAATAGAATGACAAGAGGATATTAAAACTAAGCCTGCCTTTTAGTTGACATCTGCACTTCTAGAGACAATTTGTGAAAAGTTACATAAAGCAAGGACCAGTGTAAAGACAGGAGCACAAAGGTATTGAAGATGTGTCTCTTCCCCTACCTCATTCCATTTCAACTACATTGGTTCTTGTGCTTCCCAGAAAATCTCAGCATCGAGACAAAAAAAATCATTCAGGCAGTATTTTTCTTCTGCCAAGAGAGAAATACCCAAGCAAGGTATTGGGTCAAGTATCAAATAACACAAATTGTTCATTAATGTTATTTCGTATTATGACACACACAAAAATTAGCCAGGTGTGGTGTATATTTAGTAGAGATGGAGTTTCACCATGTTGGCCAGGCTGGTCTTGAACTCCTGACCTCAAGTAATCCTCCTGCCTTGGCCTCCCAAAGTGCTGGGATTACAGGTGTGAGCCACCACACCCAGTATGATGTTACATTCAAGTGTAGCCCATATGTACAGATTGATTTAGACTATCTGAAAGAGCTATTCTTTTTTCTTATGCTGATACTCATTTAGTCAAGTATCTACAATGTGCTTAGTAAAGTACTAGATGATTGCGATGCAAATCTCCACTTTAAGTACTGTCTAGTTGGGGTTACATGACAACCCAAACCAATACGTATATTACAGTGTGACAAGAGTAATAATGGATGCTTGCATGCACACATGTGTGTGTGAATATGGAACAGAAGAATGAGAACCTAAGGCACTAGGTATTGAATATGGAAGACTTTCTCAAGAAAAAGTTATGTGAGCTGAGTTTCCCTGATTTTAATTAGGACATTTCATGATAAAAGAACACCTTTGAGGAAGACATGAAGATATTGCCTTGTTTGTTGTCTTTACTCTAATAGAACAATGACAAGGTAGGCTTTGTACAACGTGCTTTAAAGGAGGTCACCTCCATTAATCCCCCCAATGAACCATGAGGCATGTTACTATTATTATCTCTCTAAAGGGTAAACAGTAAACCCAGAGTCAAAGATGTTGGATTATAGTTCAGGGAATCTTATTCCAGAGCCCATTTGGTGCAATACTGGAGATGGGATGGCCCTTCTAGGAACATTCTATTTTTCTCCGTGACTAAGAATCTGTTGTATTTGGGGCAGGAGCTACAAGAGGTGACACAAATAAGAAATGAAAGTCTGAAAAAAGATGGTCTTTATATGTGATAATGCCAAGTGTGGATTTTTATTCTGTTGACTACATGGTGGTATTGTTGCATTTACAGAAAGGATAGACAAAATTATGTAGTAATTATGTATTAATTTTATAATGACTATGTATTAGTTTTATAAAAACCAGTAAAGTAGACAGAAGTAATGTTAGAGCTGGGAGATAACTTAAGAAACTATGACAATATTTTAAGCAGAAGATAAGAGCTTGAACTGAGTGAGTGGGAGTTGAGAAGTAGACAAAGTCAGGAGAAATGGACAGGGAGATTCTATAGGGCCTTTTGACACTGAAAATGTGGAGAGAGGTAGAAAAAAAAAAAGAATCTGCGGTGACTTTCATGTTCACAGCCTGAGATACATTTGGATCTTAGTAACTCCTGCTGATAGAAAATATAGGAAGAAGACACATTTGGGAGTGGAATGAGGAAAATGATGAATTCTCTCTGGGGGATGATGTAGCTGACATACCTATAGAGAATATCATGGCAGTTGATTGGAATGATGTTGGGTGCAGAGACCAAGGCCAGAATGTGTATCTATGTGTAATTAATTTTTAGGCTGTTGAAGTTGTGCCAGTAGGCTAGATTGACTAGGAGAGTATGTACAAGTAGAAGATAAAGTGACCCAGATACGAAAAAAAAAAAAAAAAAGGATCCCATGAGAAGGGCTGAGGGGGTAAAAAAGCCAGTAAAGAGAGACAAAAGCAGAAAAAAAATCTGGTAGAGAAAATTTTGGAATATAGGCAATATCATGAATGTTAAATAATGCAGAGAATGTAAGTTAGATAAGAATTTTAACGTGTCTACTGAATGTGGCCCTAGAAGGGGCAATTTTGGTTGAGTTGTAGGGAAAAGGTTAGACTGTGGTCAGATGAGAAAGAGGTTTGAGTGTCCAGGCAGTGGAGGTGCTGAAGTGATGCATCATGGGGTCTAGAAGGGCTAGAGAAGAAATTAATGGTAGGTAGAGCCTAGGAACTAGAAGTTGTGATGAATTTAAAAGGTAGAAGTTGTCTCATCAAGGCACTAAGGAAATTGAAAGACTGAGAGGTTACAGTGAAACAATAACCTTTTAAGATTCCAGAGATCAGACATCTCTGAGCAATTATACTACCTAGGGATTTGGCCATTAATAGAGTCAAAGGAAATGGAAATGAAGGTCATTAGAGGAGAGAAGGTAAGAAATTTAAATAGGTGGCCATGCAAATGTTTGAAGCACCTGAGGCAGCTGACAGAGTAGGAGTAGAAAGGGAGACTGAGGCGGGAGCCAATTCACAGAAGTACAAGGTTTGAGGAGCAGGGTAAGAAAAGAGACCAGTCCGTTAGCAGGAGTCTCATGCACAGATGGTTTTCTCAAGCAGGTGGATAAACAGTTTAACAGTGGACATGTTGAATTAAAGAATGTCAGCATCTCCTACCAACCACAAGATGTGCAGAATGTGGAAAATTGAGGTGTCTTCACTAAAGAGAGCAGCAAAGTAGAAATGAAATTCCTAGCATCTGGGTTCAAGCCAAGGCTTCCTTTACTGAAATTTGAACCTTTTATTACATAATATTCACTCTGCTTGTGATTATAATAGTGTATTTTTCATTATCATATTTAACTTCTATCGGAATTACTGAATTATTTCTATTGCCTCATTTCTCATTATGTTCATCGTTGTGCCTTCCATAGAATACATCTCAGAGCTATAGAAATAGGAACCTTCCAATAAGTACTATGTAAAGGAAAGCATGGATGTGTGCTAATCAGAAATACTACTGTGTCTTTTCACATTGGATGACACAACAAAAAAACATAGATATGTCTATTCTCCAAGATATTAATTTATTTGCATTGTTATTTATACAGTCAGCAAACAAAACAGCTAGAGCTTTAAGGGTTTGTTCTGGCCTGAATGATCATCCAATGCAGCTATCCATTTTGGCCAAATTAATTGGGAATATGACAATAACCCTGCTTTAATTTATGTTGTGCATAAAGAGGCACAGTGATGAACAAATTAAACCAATTAGCTATTAAAATCTAGGTACCGAAAACCACATTTTTGAAAAGAAAAAAATCAGGGATAATATTGCCAAAGATGCATTATGTATTAGTTTAGTTTTGACTTGAGCCTCCCAATTTAATTCCCTTTAATCTGTCTCACTTTTATATTTCCTAATGATGCTTCCTCTTGCAGTTTCAGAATCTGAAATTACAACACCGGAGACAGCATCAGAATTCTCAATGCTCAGAGTGACTGTTGTAACTAGCAAGACTACAGGTTCAGTCACTGTTTCAGTTAAAGGATCAATATTTGTATCTTGTCCAAAGTCTGCTGTCTCTCCTTGACAATAACTTCCACCACTCCCTTGAGGAATAACCTGTAAATGCCTGCAATTTTCTATCTAAGGTCCTCTTTTCTCACTCACTATCCATTGTCTTGGCAAAATACTTTTCTTTCTCACTGTTTCCAAGCCTGCCCTTGTTACTCCTTCATGCAATCTGGCATAAGCACTGTGATTAGACAGGCGACCCGCAATTGGTAGAAGCTAATCTCAAAGAGGTCAGATGGTAAAACTGTTTTTTGTTTGTTTGTTTGTTTGTTTGTTTGAGACGGAGTTTTGCTCTTGTTGCCCAGGCTGCAGTGCTGAAGTGTAATGGCGTGATATCGGCTCACCACAACCTCCGCCTCTCGGGTTCAAGCAATTCTCCTGCCTCAGCCTCCCGAGTGGCTGGGATTACAGGCATGCACTACCATGCTTGGCTAATTTTGTATTTTTAGTAGAGATGGGATTTCACCATGTTGGCCACGCCGGTCTCGAACTCCCGACCTCAGGTGATCCGCCCACCTCAGCCTCCCAAATTGTTGGGATTACAGGCGTGAGCCACTGCACCCGGCTGGTATTCAGATTCTTAAAAGTGTATTTCCCATAAACAGAATAAAAAATTTCAGCTCTAGAACCAGTTGCCAAGTGCCAAATGATGATACAGGAAAAATATTTGATTAGTATTCTTTAGGCGTGTCACTTTTAATGAAGCCAAATACAATAGTTGAAATAGCCCATCTTTCCCACCAATTAGCAAACATATAAGTAAAGAGAGGGTTAAATTTCTTTGATAGTGTGAAGCTCATAAAAACAGCAGACACCTGCATTATACCTTATAAAGGCTTTTATAAAATGTGGTAGAAAGAAATCTAATGTATCTCCTTATATCAGGGATCTAAAATATTTTAATGGTATACACATTTACCTTGATCTTCATATGAAATGCTGAGGGCTTGCAAACATGTGAGAGTATTAAATGCAGAAGAAAGCACCTAGTAGCAGAAAGCAACTGGGATTAGGAAATGAGATCCTTGGATTCAAGTCCTACTTTTTCTCTAACTGCCTGTTTGAACTTGGGCAAGTTATTTGACTTATGCTTCTTTGTTCTTCATTTGTAAAATGATAAATATAAATTACATCCTTCTAAATTTTCTCCCCATTCTATTATTCAAATAAAAATTTGCAAAATAGTACCGTAGTGTTAGCTAGGTCTCATAGCAAATACTTCTCTACCTACCAGTATCTGTCTTTCAAATATTCTTCTCCAAATGTTTTTCCAAGATGTAGTAATCTCTAAGCATTTTAAGAAATAAGCTATGGAAAGATGTTGAGGAATACATTTAAGCTTTCCCATATATTTTAGGATTGGTCATGTCACAGACACCTTGTCCAAAATATATGATGTTAAAACTCTTATTATATAATAGGAATTTTTTTTTTCAAATAACATCATCAAGTAGAAGACAACTGAAAGCTTCTACTATACACTTAGTGCTCAGATTCAAGGGAAACATCACTCAAATACTCCATCTGTCAAGGTCAAAATTAGCAAACTGTTTTAAATATCATGCATGCTGTCATTGAGTTTTCAGGCATGTATCACAACATGAAACTAGCTATTCAAATCTGAATCTCCAGATTAGTGTGTTCTTAATTGTGTGGCACCACGTTAATGTACCTACAGATATTTATATACTACACTTTGGGAAAAAATGAGTAATTGCATTAATTAAATTTTAAATTAACTTCACTATTCAACAGCACACTTAAAATTTTGTCTCTATGAGGGTAAGGGAGAAATAGAAATAAACGAATGAATGAAAAAGTGAGTGAATTAGCAGACACAAAACTATAAAACAGGACCATATTAAATATGTCCTATGTGTTCTTTCATTTGCTCTCCACAAAGCTCTCAAAGGTACCTATTATTAAGATCATTCCCAGATCGTAAATTAAAGGCGATTTAGAAATGGTAAGTAACTTGCTCAAAGTCACAGAGTAGGGAAGAAGAAAGCCGAACTATTTAAGCCCAAGTCCAGAGCCCGCACACTCAGTAAGCTGCCATGTTCACATCATGAGATATTTGTGGGCATTCAGTTACATCGTGTATGTGAAATGGGTAGTACAGTGTATGGCACATGTCTACATCATGATATTGAAGAGAATAGGCAATAGTGATGAGGGTGTGCTCAGGAATAAGAATTCAGGGTTCAAACCTTACCTTTGTCACCTGATAGCAGTAAGACCATGGGCAAATTACTTAATCTCTTTGAACCCTGGTATCCAAATATTTAAAATCATGGTAACAAAAGTATCCATTTTCATATGATGATTGTGAGGATTAAGTGGATCAATACTTGTAAAGAACGTTGATCAATGCCTAGCCTATATGAGGAACTATAATTATAAATTGTTATTATTGCAAATGCAAGGGACTATAGCACTCCTGAAATAACAAAGAACCTTTACTGAGAACATCTTCTTTGCTTCTCATTTTACTATTATCATTATTCCCATTTTGCCAATGAGAAACCTAAGAGTCAGAAATGTAATTTTGTAGTCACATGGTTAGGGAGTGCCTCAAACTCAGGCCCTCAGACTTTAAAGCCATTTACTATATTGTATATCCTGTTGCTTTGGCCAGGAGTCAAAACAAGAGCACCCTCATGGGAGGTCAGCAGTATTCCACCAACTCTTGTATCTGAAGTCTTTTGGGAGGAAATATGGGTTGCAGCCGGATATCAATCAATCAGATAATCAATGTAGAGATAGAGTCAGAAATCTACTTTTCTCAAAATTAAAGAGTACTGTGGAGAGTAAAATAGGTATAGGCAAATGAAGACCTGTGGGAAAAATCCAGCCAGTCACCTGGTTTTTGTATACCCCAACAGTTGAAATGGTTTTGACATTTTAAATGGTTGAAAAACAATAAACAAAAACAAGACTATTTTGTGCTATGAAAAAATCATAAGAAATTTAAAATTCATTTATTCGCACATTTTTATTGGAAGACAGCCATGACCATTAGTTTTCATATTGTCTACAACTGCTTTGCACTACAACAGAAGAGTTGAGTGTCTGAGATGGAGGCTGTATGACCCATAACGTCTGAAACTTTACCATCTGGTTCTTTACAGAAAAAAATCTGCTGCTTTCTTTGCCTCTGCAGCTTAGTGATGGAGGTACCAGACTGTTGAGAAGAAACTATTTTTTAAGAAAATGATGATGAACCCAATGTCCTCCCACCCCCTCATACACCTAAAAAATACCATATGTAATGATGGTCTATGTTATGTCTCTGAATAAGAGTATCTGGAATTATTGAAACACAATATTAAAATGTTTACCTTTTGATTACAGATGTTTACACCCTGCCCTGACATTAAGAAGTGTTCATATGAGAGGTTGCCAAAGCCAGCCCACAGTATCCTTTCACAGAGAAAATAGAGTGGAGGTAATGACTTCAATTCAGACCTAAGCTATGTCTACTTGAGCTGAAATGGAAAGTCCCTAGAATGCCAGCCTCTGAAGATGAACTCTGGGCATCATATCTTGAGACGGAAGAAAAGGCTGCTGTATCCTTGATAAAAGATGGCATGCTAACTCTAGACTCATGAGGTAGAAATTAGCTGTCATTCTGCTTGGGGGTTAAGGAGCCCAGATGATGACCCCATGTTGAGAACCCTGGGAATGATAAATGATTGGATTTGATATCGGCTCAGGCAATGGTGTTCTCTGGTTTTGCATTTCTAATGACCTTCTGAAACCATAAGCTTAACATTATTTCTTAATGAATTCCCTTTGTCCTATTTCAGGAGCCCTCAGCTCTCCTTGGTTACACTTGGGTGACTTATAATTAGTTTTGCAATACTAACATAGATTACAATTTTTAAAAAAGGGAGAGAGTAAAAACAAATATGCTTTCAATTACAACGGGGTGTGGGGGGAGGAATTGTAACAAAATGTGTTGGTGTTGCAAATTACCTGGTTTTATTACTTGTTCTCTTATTTATTTATTTCAATTAAGATCCTAGGTCCTTTAACCCAGACTTGTTCTTTCAATGACATTCTATTTTCTAAGCTTTGAATAAGTGACTTTAAAAATATATTCTTTAACGTTTATAAGAGTTTGTTTAGATAAGCCATCCTGGCTATTAAATTGGTCTTCAAGCAAAAAACCGTGATTAATGCATGGCATGTCTAGGAGTCATGGGATCTCAGGGCTGGAAGTATTCTTTGAGCATCATTGTAGAATCTGTATGAGGTTAAGATCAAGAAATCTGGGGTCTGACAAACCTCAGTTTGTAGCCTGTTCCTGCTACTCATTAACTGTAATTTTGAGCAATTTATTTCAACTTTCCAAGCCTCTATTTCAAAGGAACTGTCCTCATAGAGTTGTGGTTAGGATTAAACATAGTAATTCATGTAAAGTTCCCTGCACAGGAAGTGTTCATTAAATGTATTTATTATTACTCTATTATAATGTAGTCTGACAATCCCATACCCTACTGACCTAATACCCTATGCTAAATGAATGAGGGTTCTATATGGTGTTGCTGAGAGCCTTTGGTTGTGAAGTCTCTTCCTGAGCTTACCATGTGCCCTCAAGGGTGCCCATTTTATTTCATACAGGTCAAATTACCAAAATTCTTCTTAGGTTGATCTTCAATCATTAAGTGCCTCTCTTGTCCAATCCTGTTTTGTAGAACTACACAAAATAAATCTTTACAATTGCCCTATAGGTATTTGAAGACATCCTATCCACAGATGGTTTCTCTTCTTCAAGCTAATTAAACCAATTTCTCCAGCATTTCTCATAATTTATTGGTGGATCTCAACCCTGGCTACACATGAAAATCCTCTGGGAAATTTTTAAAATCCTGAGGCCCAAGAAACTTACCAGAAAAATTAAATCAGAATCCCTGGAGGTGGGGCCAAAGCACTGGTATGTTTTAAAGCTCTGTAGGCAATTCTAAATGTGCAGCTAGGGTTGAGAACCACTGTTACATGATTTCAAGTTACTTCATTACGTCGATGACTTTATTCCTAAATAACCTGCTTCTAATAACACTGCCTAAATGGCTGCTCTCAGATACACACTGTACTTTAGATTTGGCCTGAGCAGGACCACTGCTCAGGAATGAATGTTTGTGTTTCCCCAAATTTCATATGTGAAAATCTTCACCTCTAAGGTGATGGTGTTGGTAGGTGGGGCGTTTGGGAGGTGATAAGATTATGGGGGCAGAGAATGAAATTACTGCCCTTGTAAAAGAAGCCTCTTTCCCCTTCTGCTATCTGAAGATAGAGTGAGATTGACTGTCTGTGAGGAAGAAGGCCCTCATTAGACATCAAATCTACCAGCACCTTAATCTTGGACATCCCAAGCTCCAAAAGCAAAAGAAATAAATTTCCATTGTTTCTAAGGCACTCTGTCTATGGCATTTTGTTACAGCAGCTCAAAAGACTAAGACAGCCACCAACACCTCCCCTTGTCTTAGTGTAATAATATTGTCTGTGTTATTTTAGCAAACATAGTCCATTGTTTCTCAGACTTTACTGTGCATAAAAATAATTGGGGATCTCATTAAATTGGGGATCTCATCAAATTGCAGATCATGATTCAGAATCTCTAGGATAGCACCCAAGGTTCTGCACTTCCAGAAAGCTCCTAGGTAATGCTAGTGCTGTTTGTCCATGGAGCGCTTTGAGTAGCAGAGGTCTTCTTGCTGATAGAATCACAATAGAGTTACATACCAGTACAAAGAGAGAGAGAGAGACCAAATACAGTCTCGGTCTTATCGTAAGTCTTTCCATTGAATCTTTTATAATCTGTATGTATCTGGCAAGTTTGTAAGTGAGTTGGCAAGCCATCTATCTCAAATATTGGCTATTTTCTCAGATGTTCTGCTTGGTTCCTGGTTTGGAAACCAGAATCCATTTATCTTTGTGGCAGCTAGAAGGGGGAATTTAGCTAGTTGAAGGGATTCATAGAAATATGAATATTGTACTTTCAAGTTTCTAAAAAAGAAAACTTTCTAAAACATTCATATCATTTGAACAAATAAACACCCGCTCTGAATACAAGGATTATGCCTCTGGTGACACTTCAACATGATGAAGATGCTAAATGAGTATTAATGTATTAACTAATTGATGAGACATACTCACTGGACAATAAAACATGCTTATGTTGATAGAATAACTAAAGAGGGAGAGAGTGTGCCAAAATGACAAATTATATGGCATAAACAGTGAATATAATTTAGCTAATAAATGCGAAAATCAAAAAGGGTTGAAACAAGGTTTTGAAGGAGTGATCATTTGTGAAAAGGTAGAGAAAGAGGGCAAGAAAAAGACATTTCAGGCTTTAATATGGGTAGTTTTATGGTCAGAGTCAACATCATGCTTGACTTGGGATATCTAATGAGACTGCAGACCTAAATGGTGTACTTGTAGGACCTTCTGTCACATAATGTCAGGGATAATATATTATGCTGAGGAACATGTGAGTTATATTACAACTGCAAGGGAATAAAAATTAAAACCCCTTCATGTGGAAATAGACATACTCGTGCTACATTTCCCTGCAGAAGAGCATACAGTGGCAATTTTTCTTCATATAATATTACATTAGTTTTAATTCTTATTAATAAGATACAAGAGTCATTAACACTATTAAAAATCTAATTATGTTAGCAATTTTCCATCATGTCATATTTGAGCAGTTAAGTATTGGTATTTGTTTTTCCTAATGGGATTCAAAAGTCTAATTAATAGGCTTTCTTTTGTGGTTAAGTAGAATGAATCTCTGTGAGAAATAAGCCATTTTTAATATCTTCAGGCAGCTTATTTTCTCATATATTACCAAGTCATCTGGCCATCTGTGGTATAAATAACTAGGTAAGAATTATGAGATTATCATATGAAATTGAACAATGCCCTTCATTACATGTGATGTCACGGCTACAATAGTCTAAGAACTTTGATATTTACTGGACAAGTAGTACAGAAAGTGGTTATGCAGTCGATTATTACCTAAGGAAACTGAAGATAACGTATTGAATGGATCAGATGGTTTTTCTGCTTAAGCTGGTATTATTTGGGGTCAGTACATATCCAACTAACTAATAGCCAAAAGTTGTGTTTCTTAACTCCAGTCTTGTTTAACTAACTTAAGGTTAATGTCTTAAAAAGAAACCTGTGTCTATTGACTGTGTTTCTTTATTCCTTGGTACCATGCTAGTGCGTCTACATATAGATTCAAATATGCAATGGCACTATGTAACATACATAGCATATATTGCATATATATGTAATACAACATACGTTACAATGTAATATTATATACAGAGAGATATAGATGTAGATATACTAATATATTACCAAGGAATAAAGGATATTTTTATAGGCTGCTGTTTTTTCATTATTATTAAAAATACCCTTATGATATGTGAGTCATTGTTATTAATCAAATAGTCACAGGAATTAAATCATCATATTTATTTTTCACTCTTTGATGAAATGATATTACTCTATCATATATTATAAATATGTCTGTGCTTATTTTACTAGTCCTACTGAATTTTAAATTCTTTAAGATTATAGGTGATCTGTTAACTCATTTTTGAATTCAAAATTTCATTTTGAAAATCGTTGATTTCAAATGTATAAATTATATTCAACACAATGGAGTCCTTCAGAGATAGTAAGGAAAAGAGTGGGGGTTGTTAAGCTATGAACCTGTGAAAGGTGTAGGATATGCCTACACCTCATCCCCACAGACCAGCTCTACTTATATCTGTTTTATTGTTTAATCTTTTATACAACTGTATTTTTGAAGGGATTTCTTCCCTTAAAAAGAAGTTTCAAAACCAATATACAGATTTACAGATAAGATGGCAGATTGACTACACATTTTTATCTCTATTCCCTTCCCAAGACCCAGTAGAATGACAATAAATGAATTTCAAGGCCTACAACCATAAAGATAACGATAATAAGAAAGGAGAAAGCAGACCTAACTCTAGGGATTAGAAGGCAAGTGTATGAGTGGTAAGTGACACAGAGTTAATTACTAAGCTGTTATGGAGGAAATCTAAGAAGCAACCAAATTTTTACCTCACAACTGCAAAAACTCAGAAATTCATTGCTCCATATTTTTCTGAAAGTGGAAAGTGATACCAAAACCAGGACGCTGCTTATGAAGCATTTTACTGCTGAATTTTCCCTACTCCAGCAGAAGATGGGAGAGCTACTCTCTTCTGAGGGAAGAAATTTTTTTTTTTTTTTACAGAATACTAGGTACATGCAGTTGGGGTGGTGGTATAATACTAAAAAAAGTGGAAGGAAGAAAAGTTAAGTAAATGTTAATACACAAAATGTTAGATGCCCTAGCTTTCTTCTTACACACAATGCTTGGAATGCTTATGTTATAGGGAAGATTAGGAAGCGACTATTCTGAGCAATTTAACCAATAAAAAGAGGAAACATAACAATACTGACATTTTGTCTCCTCCAATACAACTGCCCAACCAGATCACTCTCAGTTAAATACTCATTTAACAAATCACAGTCAAAAACTCAGTTCCAAATTCATTTTCTGTTTTCTACTATTAAAATATGCAGAGTCAAGGATCACCAGCTATTAGGAAATTTCTGTGGTGAAATACAGAGAACCCAACAAGCAAGCAAACAATATGAAGGAAACAGAATTGTGCAGAGATTTTTTTAATTAAAAACCATCATTGATATTTTTAGAAAGATAAGTGAATAGTCTGCTATAAAAGAGGAAGGCTCTTTTTCAAAACTGCGAAACAATTATTTTAAAAAGATGAATATTCATAGAATAAGGGAGATATAAGTTACTACGACAACAGAAATATAAGATTCAAAAGAAGTGATAGTAGTAGAACAAAAAGCTAGAGATGGAAAATATAATAGAAAAGATAATAAAATAAGAAAGGTAGAATAAGAGGCCCAATATCTGTATACTTGGAATTCTACAAAGAAAGAGCAGAGAAAGGAAGGCATGACATCAAAACATTCAAGAACATTTCAGAACTAAAGGACTTTAGTTTTGACACTGAAAAGGTCCACTGAGTGACCAGCACAATGGATGATTTTGGACCCACATTAACAACAGACATATACAATAATATCCTCATGAAATTTTATGACACCAGGAACATAACGAAGGTGTTCCAAGCCTTCTTATGGAGAGAATAAGCAGACTTCACAAAAAAGAAGAGTCTGAATGGAATCTGAGTCTTCAACACCCATTTGAGAAGCTATAGAACAAAGACAGAATGCCTTCAAAATTCTGAAAGAAAAAAGATTCCCTAAGTGTAATCCTCAAACTAGCTGAACTAAAATTTAGTGTAAAGTTAGAAGAATGGTTTCTGCAGATATATGCATATGCTATATCAAAAGAAAAAGGAAAACAAAACTACTCCAAATGAGGTTATTCTCTTAAAGCAAGTAGAAAATATACTTCTCTTCCAATTCAAAAAGAGACGAAAAGGATCTGTCCCCAGGAAATCATGAATGAAGCACCCAGTAGCACAGCTGAGGAGACGCCTGGAGAACTACCAGCATGAACGTCCCAGGAGAAGTTGCTTTGATCATGGAACAGGTAGATTACCTGATGCCTTTTTTCTTAGTAAGAGAAAATTTACTCAACTGATAGAAGAATTTGCAGTTGCATTTGTGATGAGTTCACAGATAATTAAGCTAATAAATAACAATAAAAATTAATTTCAGGGAAACAAAAATTTGCCAGAAAATAAAATTAATCAAGATACCTAGATCAGCTGAGAATAGCATTTGCATAGTCAAATAATGTAAATGCTTAATATTCAACTAAGGAAAATTATAACTTAACCATATTGGGAGAAAAAGAACATTGGAAGCCTGTGTGTGTGTGTGTGATGCACGCACATATGCAGATAGATGATGTGGTTTGGATATTTGTTCCCTCCAACTTTCATGCTGGAATGCAACTCCCAGTGCTGGAGGTGGGGCCTGGTGGGAGGTGATTGAATTAGGTCGGCAGATCCCTCATGAATGGTTTAGCACCTTCCCCTTGGTGATGGGTAAGTTCTCACTCAGTTAGTTCACCTGAAAGATAATTGTTTAAGTGTGTGGCACCTTGCCCCTTGCTCTCTTGTTCCTGCTCTCACCATGTGATGCGCCTGCTCTCCATTCACCTTTTGTCATGATTGGAAGCTTCCTGAGTCCTCACCAGGAGCAGATGCCAGTGTCATGCTTGTACAGCCTACAAAACCACAAGCCAATTAAACTTCTTTTCTGTATAAATTACCCAGCCTCAGGTATTTCTTTATAGTAATACAAGAACAACCTAACATGGTAGAGCAGGTTAGGGGAGATGAAATGGATAGAAAGAGAAATACTGATCTTTTTTGGAGGAACATCAATTCATAACATTTAAAATTGAAAAATGAAAACATAAATGTATACATACATTATTTAGAAATATGGAGTGAGCTAAACGGATTGAAAGTAGTTACCATGGCTGGGCACGGTGGCTCATGCCTGTAATCCCAGCACTTTGGGAGGCCGAGGCGGGCAGATCACCTGAGGTCAGGAGTTTGAGACCAGCCTGGCCAACGTGATGAAACCCCGTGTCTTCTAAAAACACAAAAATTAGCAGGCTGTGGTGTCAGGCGCCTGTAATCCCAGCTACTTGGGAGATTGAGGCAGGAGAATCGCTTGAACCTGGGAGGTGGAGGTTGCAGTGACTCGAGATTGTGCCACTGCACTCCAGCTTGGGTGACAAAGTGAGACTTCATATCAAAAAAAAAAAAAAGAGTTACCATGAAGAGTAGGAAATAATTGGGGGAATGGGATGGGGACAGTTATTTTTTATGAAATGTAGACCAATTACATGCATATACTTGATGAATTATATGGAGGCTTATTTAAAGCATATGCATATTCTTTGATAAAGTTAAAACTAATTTTAAAACTCTAAAGCAAAAGTCAATAACAAAATTAGGTTCCTAAAGCCTAAAGTCTAAAATGTGTTCTGACTTAATAAATAATTTGATTTAAATACTCTAAGTCCATTTAACTAAAGATACTATACTAAAGCTTAATATATCACACAGGATGACAAAATAATTTCCAAATTCATTCCATCCTTGACCAAATGTAGTTATTTAGAATAGTATGTTGAATAGGATTTTGAAAGTAAATTTAGGATCAGTGGGAAAAAGTCCCAGGCTTGACTAACCATGTCTGCCATGCATGGAATAGTGGAGGATGGTAGCACATAGGCAAAACATTTCAGTCATCTGTTAGGACCTAACAGATGACTGAAAGGTCCTAGAAGTCCAGCTTTACGCATATCAGCATGTGGTTTTGTTCCAAGCAGCATCACAGTACATGGAATGATTATGTAATTTTTAAAGTAAAATGGAAGGAGGGAGCTATTAATAATTATGCTGGGATAACAAGTGTAAATGTAGACTATCCTAAGCAAACCAGGAAGGTCCTTATGTTTACCTGTTGTCCCAGCATAATTACTTATGGTCACTAAGTATAATATGTAATACTGAAGGGATATGTTTGGTGCTGAAGTTATGAGATAGGGTTATTTTTAAATTGATGCTAAGGAGTGATTGACAGGATATGGGAAGTCAAACAGACCTAGAAATGGCATAATACAAGAGCTTGCAGAGCACAGACATAAAATGGTGGTATTAAGGGCCATTTCTGTCTGGGGTGTGTGTGTGTGTGTGTGTGTGTGTGTGTGTGTGTATGTGTGTGTATTTCAGTTTATTCATAAGCATAAAACAAAAAGTCTCAAAAAAGAATTAAAATTTAGCTTTGTAATTTGCAGATAGCAACAAAAGTGAAAATATTATAAAGGCTATGACATAAAATTATTATTTTCATCTTACAGCAGAGAAAAGTTCTGAGACAAAAAAAGTGACTTTTTAAAACCTGTTTTATTGTCTTAACTATTTTATTACATGTTTTTATTTTACCTGCTTTACTAGATCTGTTCTTAGTATTTTAAAGCTATAGAAGTTTGAGTTGCTGTTCTTTGGCCCTTTCGATTTGAGAAAACATTTCTTTTCTAAAACAAAATAATTTGATTACTTTCACCTGCATTTGTGTTATTTCTCTACATCTTATTTTGGTTTCTCATTTGTTTTATTTTTGGCTTGGTTAATGGCTTTTCTATATTACAGTTTTTGACTAATTAATTTTGGCCTTTATGATTATTGCTCCCTTTTTTTTCTTTCTCTGTATCTATTTTGTTTATTTCCTAAGTTAGTATTTTAACTTGAATTCATCTTAATTTTTTTCTTGTATTAGTATGTCCTCGGGGCTGTGAGATTTCATCTGAGCATGGTTATGCTATTTCTCACGTGGAATCCTCATTACCATTATTTTCTAGATAATCATGTAATCTTCAGTTGCTTTTTTGACTCAAAAATTTATTGAGAGAGTTTTAATTTTCTTAATTTTCATCTGGTAGGTTTTTGTTCCTGGTTTGTTTTTAATTTTTAGTTTTATTACATTGAGATCAGAGAATGTGTACCATATTTTCTTTAAGACTTAATATAAAATCAAATTTTATTATTTTTTAATTTGGACATTTGAAAATATAGTATATTCTTAGTTTTCAAGGCATAAAGTCTTACAAATAGCAATTACATAAATATTATTAAATCTTATGTTATTTAGATCTCTCATATTCTTCCTAATTTTTTTGCCCACTTCTTATGTCAAAAAGTATGGCAAGCAAATGAAAAAATGATATAATCTTTATGTGTTTTGAGCATTATTTGTATTTCTTGTAACTTTTGTTATATTAATGTTGATGCTTTGGTATTTTATGTGTACATCTTCACAAGCAACAAATCTTTACTTGGATTAAATCCCATTTCATAGAATGATGTCCTTCTTTGTCTATTTTCAGTGATTTTTTTCAGTGGGGGACTAGATCTTAAGTCAGCA
Source organism: Homo sapiens (assembly GCF_000001405.40). NCBI lineage: Eukaryota > Metazoa > Chordata > Mammalia > Primates > Hominidae > Homo > Homo sapiens. The sequence goes on along the minus strand of NC_000005.10, from coordinate 164,031,795 downwards.
TCTTTGATATTAATATCACAATGCTGCATTTTTTACATTCCTTGACCTGGTATATCTTTGGCAATTGTTTAAATTTCAATCTTTTGAGGCAATTGTTTTGAGATTTTATATTTACCCACATATATATTTATATATGTATAGTTTTATAGATTAAATTTGATCCAATTATAGTATTATTGCTAAGATATATATGTTAGAACATTTTGTTCTGCTTTGAGTTTTCATGGATACTTTTATCTTTTTCTTAGGGTTTTCTTTCTGGTGCTTTTTAGTTTATATTAACATCTTTATACTAATGCTTACTTTTACAATAGCCTTGTATAATATTCTTAATATATTTTAAAGATAATATTTACTACTTTTACATATAAACAATAAATGATATACTATTTTTCCAAATTCTTTTCTACCCAATTTTAGTATATAAATTTTTTCTTTTTTACTTTTATGCCTTTAAATATGTGTGTATCTCCATATTTTAATTATTGAAGTTTAAAATGTGATTTTTGGCTACCATTTTCTTTATTGCCTCCTATATAAAAATTGAGAAAATCAGTATTCTGATCCCTATCTTCTCCACTATCCCCTCCCAAGGTAAACTTTTGTTAAGATAACTTTCTATCTTGTTAGAGTTTACAACATTTATATTCTATTTTATAGCCATAATATCCACACTTACTTACTCTTAATCTAGAAATAAATGGGTTTAATTCTCACCAGCAATTCTTTTGCTATGGTTTCTTCATTAATTTTGTCTTTGGCTTAAGTTTTTCATTGAGATTTTGTTTTACTAACTGCTCATGAAATATACAATCTCTGAGCTGGTGCATATTTAAGTACATTTTTAATAACCTTTATACTTGAGTGATATTTTAGGTAGACAAAAAAATATCAGGTCACACAAACTCTTGTGGGTTTTTAGACATTGCACTCCTGATTCCTGGAATTAAGACCTGCCACAAGGAGTATGAGGCATATCTGATCACTTACTACCCATCCCCCAATATGTTTTTTGCCTGGTTGACTAATGGATTTGCTCTTTTTCATTAAAATCCAATATACCTTACTCTTTCTAGATACTTTGTAATACATATTTTACCTTTTCAAACTGTAAATTTAAGTCCTTTTATTTCTAGGAAGCTTTCAGTTAATATACATACTTATTTTCTGTCCCATTATTTTTACTCTCTTCTTCCAGAACGCCAATTACTGGAATCTTGGCATTTCTTTGTCCATGATCAATATCTATAAATTTCTCTCTAATCGTAAAAAGAAACTTTTTTTTTCCTATTCCATTTCATTTGTTTGCTTCCCTCAATTCTGGGCTCTTTGGACTTTAGAGTTTTGAATGGCATCTTTCTTTACACTATATCCAATCTGCCTGCATTTTTGTGATTTTTTTCCCCCTTTATTTCTTGGGGTCTGCTAGCTCACATTTCATCTTCTTCGATTGTCTGGACATATTTTGTTTTCATTCTTTAAACTTTACTTGGAATTTTTCTTTTATACTATTAATTGATGCCATGATTTTCAAAATACAAATATTTTTCATCACAATTTTTACATACCCCATTGCAAAATTTTTATAATGAGTATTCTTCAAATCATTCCTATTAATTTTCCATTTGCTTTCTTCATATAGTTTTATATTATCTGAATACAGACAACCTTTATTTATATTATAGGTCATTCTTATGGTTTCTTTTAGTGAAATGAATTCTTGGAGCATCTGCTTAAAGGGAATTTATGAGGAAAGAATGCCAGAGCCATGTTACAGCTTAACAGAAGATCATATGTCCTCATATTGTACTGTGAGCTGTTTTCATATTTACCTCTTCCTAGCCATCATATATTGGCAATGTACACTTCGCACAATATAAGATTTCTCCCCCTAATCCTTCGTTGATATACTACTCAATGATATTAATATACTACTTCCTGCAAAATGTATATCTTTGTGTTGTCGTTGAAACTCAAATAGCATCTTGAAACTCTATGCCAGCAGAATGTACTGGCAGGATCTTGTATTCTTCCTGTTTCTTATGGGTTTTGTCCTTATGGAATGTGTTTCCTAATTCAGAGGGACTTTGCCTTTGTGTAAGTTCTGTATTCATTTTCATCTTCTTTCATCATGATTCCACAGCTATCTTTGATGATTTGATAATGTTTCTTGAAATACTCCAATATTGTGCAACTTCTGGTTTCATTAGTGATAAATTTATATATATATATACATACATACATACATACATACATACACACACACACATACACACATATATTTCATTACAGATAAACCTAATATGTATATACACAAATACATAGATACATATATATGAACATATATACACACACATATATGAACATATATATACACACATATATATGAACATATATATATACACATATATATGAACATATATATACACACATATATATGAACATATATATATACATATCTCAAATTTTTTTGTATAAGTTGAAAACTGTCAGTTTTTGAATAAGTCAAAACCAGAAGCGAGAGTGCAAATGTTTGTCTCTTTTAAGTCTTAAGCAGAAAAAAATAGCTTCCTTTTGAGGAGATTAGGAATGTAGAATTAGCATGAGGCCTCAAGGGGTATGTGCTTATCTCATCTTTTGCCCTATTCAGTGGTATACACTGCTCAGATTAGAGAGAATTTTTAAAAGGTGAAGATTCTGCACAGAAACATTTACCTTTTTCTATCTGATTTTATGGTTCAAGATAATAAGTATTTCAAAAGCATATGAAGAAAAAAAAAGCTCAAAAATCTTACTCTTAAAAATAAAGTATTTATGAAGCTCTGCCTGGACTTTTATGTAACTTTGCTACATTAATATTTTTAAAAATAAGCCAATTGAAATAAAATTCTTGAAGCATTTTCATGGAATGCTAATATCAATATCACTTACAAATATTCCTAAGTATTTCATTTCAAGATATAATTTTAATTTTACAACAAAATTACTAGGAATAATTTAAAGTAGCCCTACATTTTACCTATTTATTTTTTATTTATGTATTTTTGAGACAGAGTGTCGTTCTGTCGCCCAGGCTGGAGTGCAGTGGCATGAACTCGGCTCATTGCAACCTCCGCCTACCAGGTTCAAGCGATTCTCCTGCCTCAGCCTCCTGAGTAGCTGGGACTACAGGCGCACGCCACCATGCCCGGCTAATTTTTGTATTTTTAATAAAGACGGGGTTTCACCATGTTGGCCAGGCTGGTCTCAAACTCCTGACCTCAGGTGATCTGCTCACTTCAACCTCCCAAAGTGCTGGGATTACAGGCGTATGCCACTGCACCTGGCCCATTTTACCTATTTTTTAATAAACCATCCAATGTTATATTTGCAATATAATTTATAACATAATTTATAAAAGCATAAAAATGATTTATATAACATTTATATTTACTATACTATTTAAGCAATTATTACTATCATAGCATTTCTATTTTAATCATAAGTTCCTACAAGTACACAGAAAACAAATAATTTCATCTGACATAAGAGATTAAAAAGCAGAGGTGCTAAATATTGTTGCTGCCATTTATATAGTAGCCACTAGCACTAAACCTTCACTTAATTGTTAGCACACTCTTGTGAGATACATAACTATTATCATTTCCACTTTACAAAGAAGAAACCAAGGCTCAGAGAAATTATGTAACATGTCACAATCACAAAGCCAGTAAGTGGCAAGGCCAGGATTTCAACCCAGATGGAATGACTCCCAGTTCATTCTCTTAACCTCTTGCCTAGAACAGAGGATTATGGAAATCACACCCACTGGATGCAATGTTCGGCTCTATTGGGCATGCTCAGCATCTGGTACTGTGTTTTTCACTTACTAATCCATGAGTCAATTCCTGTTAAATCAATGAATCAATCACATGGCCTGGCGTTTGAGGAAGGATCACATTTTACAGGAAATACAACTAAGGTCCTCCCAATTAATCCAATAATCCAACAATAAAGAAAAGACCAGGTTACATGTTCCTTGGATCAATCTCTCTGACCACAAAAGGGAATCCTGTGATTTTCATTTTTCTTTTACTTTCTTTTTTTTTTTTTTTTTTTTTTTTTGAGACAAGGACAAAACCAACCTTCATGCTCCTACAAAAACTCAGTTATTTGATATTGGAATAGATTGGTTCTCAACTGGTGGGTATTTTGCTCACATTCCTCTATCCCCCAGCCCAGTGGACATTTGGGAAACTCTGGGGACTTTTTTGGTAGTCACAGCTGGAAAAGGAGAGGAGGATGCTTTTGGTGTCTAGTGGGTAGAGGACAGTACCAAATATTCTACTCACACAGGGCAGCCCCCAGTAATGAATTATCCAGTCCAAAATGCCAACAGTGCTGAGGTTGAGAAATCACGAAATACATACGCATAACTTTTAATTTTGATGAAACTCTGGTTTTATTAACAAAAAAGAAGAAAATAATTAGTAACTTGGAAAGTTTAATAACATCCTCTCCCCCTCCTCATTCCTGGCCCAAGCATTAAAAGACTAATGGGGAAAATGAAAAGAACGAAACTAAGAGCTCTATAGCACTGTCTTAGAACTTAGCGAACTTGAATGGATGAAAACTACTGAGAATGTGCCTGCTATTTATCTTGACTTTGGTTCCCAACTCTTCTATTCTTTCATTCTTTCTGAGAATATCTGAAGAAAAGCACTTATTCTAAAACCTGCCTTTCATGTTTTGCTTTTCCTTGCACCCCATGACTCTGAGAATTCCTTCTTCTCTATCACCATTTGACTGCGTTTGCTTACTGCCATCACCTGAAATCCCAGCCAGCACCCAATATCCAATGTACAAAGGGAGACATCCTGAAGTACTCATTGCTGTGGTTCAGGGAGCTGTTTGTATTCCTAGTAGGTATTGCTACCCTTCTGATCATATTCATTGCTGATTAAGTAACATATTAGAGCTGCTGTGAGCCGTGGGAACAGAAATATTAATGCACGCTTCCTTGGCTATTTTCTTGAATTATTTTTATGAAAAAGTCTGAACTATTCCACTCCTACACCACCAATTCCATCATGACTATCAAGATCCTGCTTCAGATCTGGACTTTTATTTCTGCATGTTCCTCCCTTAAATATATCTGCTTGGCATTTTATTTGTTAACTATTCATATACAGTTGATACATTAAGAAGAACTGGCTGACTTCCAATATTGGCAGGCTAGGCTATTGGGATCAACTATCATCTCTTGAAACAAATGCTAAAAAATGTTTGCTTTGATGTTGAGTAAGGCAGGATAAAATGGAAAAAATATATGGAGAGTAGTCTTTTAGAACTGTGGGCACACATGGGGTTTCATGGGAATTTGTATCCAAGATTACACATAGCCTGAATTATCAGGGAACCCCCAGCCCTCACGATTGTGGCTAGAGTAGGGCAAAGCCATTCTGGAAGTATGTGGATGCATCGTTAGCCTTGAGGGATACCACAGATAATTTTCCAAGCCAATTAATTACTATCAAGCAGTCGAAGATAATTAAGTCCAAAGAAAAAGGGAAACATGGAACAAAAACCAGCAGAAACAATAAATATCACAAAAGACCAGGACATAATTTAGAAACTATAATTGTCAGATATAGATTTGAAACACAATGCCTACTATGTTTAACAATATTACAAATAAACAAATATTACTCATTACAGTAAATTTAAGTGAATAAATATTCAGTTATATGATAAATTGCAAAATAAGATTTAAAAGTCCAAATCAAACCTATTATTAAAATATAAGGCTACATAAATATAAATGTGATGGTTAATTTTATGTATCAGTGTAACTGGGCTAAGATACGCCTATGTGGTGGTAACGTATTATTTCTGGGGGTGTCTATAAGGGTGTTTCTAAAACAGATTAGCATTTGAATCAGTAGACTGAATAAAGAAGATATGCCCTGACTATTTATCCTGATTAATAAAGTAGAAAAATAGTGGAAAATTAAAATAGTATAAAAAAGAGTGACCATTTAAATACAAATTGGAAAAAATATGGGATAACTATACCAATATGAAAAAATATTAAAATAAAATGTAATTAGAAATGAACAGCTTTCCCACATAATTACAGAATTTCAATTCAGCTGAAAGATTTCAGATTTTACACTTATATGCACTTGACATCATAAACTGAAGAATTTATAAAGCAAAAATGAACAGACCTACAAATTTAAAAATTCACAATCACATTAAGATATTGTAATATTCCACACTCAGAAATTGATAGTCAGGAGAAAAAAATACCAGCAGAAATAGAGAAGATTTGATTACCACTGATACTTTCAATCTACAGACAAACTGTCCCAATAACTACAGAATATAAATAGTTTTCAAGCACACGTGCAATATTTTTATAAACTCATGCATGTTAAAATATAAAACAGCCCTCAAAACATTTCAAAGGAGTAATAAAGCAAGGCACCTACAGCCATCTGATCTTTGACAAAGCTGACAATAACAAGCAATGGGGAAAGGACTCCTTATTCAATAAATGGTGCTGGGATAACTGGCTAGCCATATGCAGGAAATTAAAACTGGACCCCTTCCTTAGACCATATACAAAAATCAACTCAAGATGGATCAAAGACTAAACTTAAACCTAAAACTAAAAAAATCCTAAAAGAAAACCTAGGAAGTACCATTCTGGGCATCAGACCTAGCAAAGGTTTCATAATGAAGACTTTAAAAGCAATTGCAACAAAAACAAAAATTGGCAAATGGGACCTAATTAAACTAAATGCTGTGCTTTCTTTTAAGAAAACTATCAACAGAGTAAGCAGACAATTTACAGAATGGTAAGGGGATATTTGCAAAATATGCATCCAACAAAGGTCTAATACACAGATACTATAAGGAAGCTAAACAAACCAACAAGCAAAAAAACAAACAACCCCATTAAATATGGACAAAGGACATGAACAGACATTTCTCAAGAGAAGACATACAACCAGCAAGCTTATGGAAAAATGCTCATTATCACTAATCATTAGAGAAATGTAAAGGAAAATCACAATGAGATGCCATCTTATACCAGTCAGAATGGCTATTACAAAAAAATAACAGATGTGGTAAGGTTGCAGAGAGAATAGAACACTTACACACTTCTGGTGGGAATGTAAATTAGGTCAGCCACTGTGGAAAGCAGTCCGGAGATTGCTGGAAGAACTTAAAATAGAACCACCATTCAAGCCAGCAATCCCCTTACTGGATATATGCCCAAAGTAATATAAGTTGTTCTACCATAAAGATACATTCACATGTATGTTCATCACAGCACTGTTCACATTTGCAGAGACATGGAATCAACCTAGATTCCCATCAAGAGCAGGCTGGATAAAGAAAATGTGTTGCATATACACCAGGAATACTACACAGTCATAAAAAGGGAACAAAATCATGTCCTTTGCAGGAACTGGATGGAACTGGACGCCATTATCCTTGGCAAACAATGACAGGAATAGAAAACCAAATACCGCATGTTATCTCTTATAAGTGGGAGCTAAATAATGAGAACACAGGGACACAGAAAGGGGAACAACAGACACTGTAGCCTACTTAAAGGTGGAGGGTGGGAAGAGGGCGAAGATTGAAAAACTGCCTGTTAGGTACTAAGCTAATTATATAGGTGACAAAATTATCTGTACACCAAACCCCTACGATACACAATTTACCCTTGTAACAGACCCGCACATGTACCCCTGAGTCTAAAACAAAAGTTGGAAGGAAAAAAAATTTTTCAAAGCACTAAAATTCTACAGAATATAATCTCAAACCACAATGAAATTCAGCTGGAAATAAAGTAGAAGATAACTGGAAATTTCCCATGTGTTGGAAATTTAAAAATGAACTAAATAATCCACATCAAAGAAAAAACATAATGGAGATCAGAAAATATTTTGAACTCATACTGTTTATCAATACATATGACATACAGATAAAACTGTACTTTGAGGAAATTTAAAAACTTAAATACACATAGTAGAAAAGAAAGGCTGAGCATTAAGAAACCAAACATTATTTCAAGAAGAAAGAAAAGAGCAGCATAATAAATCCAAAGAAGGAATTTTTTTGAAGTATCAGAAGTTAGTGAGATAGAAAACAAACGTAAAATAGAAGGACTATAGAAAGCCCAAACTGACAATCAACCAGCAAGTTTATTCCACAAAAAAATCAGATCAGATAGATAAATTCAAAACGGGGAATAAAGTGGGTTAAAGCTGTGTTTCTCCTCTCAGGGATATATGAATTTCAACAGAAACTACCTTATAATCCAAAAAAATTAAATTATTGATATTCGTGCTGCCCATACCTCAAGAGTATGAGGATCTGCCTTCTCCTGACTCTATCAAATTGTGGAAATAAGACAATAATGATTGTCCTCTGAAATTTAAAAAACAAAATCAATATGAAATAGATCAGACTAGGTAGTAAACATTACCTTTAAGTGTTCTCAGGCCTGGAAAAGTTAAATTTAACTAGATTGATGATGGCAACATACCTCAAGGAAGACTCTGGAATGGAAGAGAGCTTGATCAGATACAGAAGTCTTAGAGAAGGATTTATCCAAAAGCAACCACTCAGAGCACACATGCAAACCTGTCTGGCTAAGAAGCATACCCTTGCCAGGCACAATGATCCTGTCTCCTTGGAGGATGCACCTTATGGTGGCAGTGCCATTCAACTTTTCTTACTACCTCCCTTTTCTTTATGCTTGTCAAGCAATCTTCCAAGAATAATTAGGTTTCACTTGCAGTTTGGTTATTGCATGAGTTCTTGACTTGGAGAATCAAAGAAAGCTTTGGCCCTCTCCACAACAAAAAACAAAGTTTGCATGCAGACACACACACACACACACACACACACACACACAAGCAATTTTCCATGCAATTTTTGGGGATGATTGTAAAGACCATCCTCACATCATCTCAAGGCTTAGAGAGAGAGAATGTTCTAAGTCAGAAGGTAATCTGGACCTCCTGACAATCTTATTTCTCCAGGCAAAATCATAAATTAACAATTCTGGTTTGACACTTGAGTCTCTTATGGCCCTTTCCAGGAAAAGCCAGGGCCTCCAAGTATAATTCTGGAAAACTGAAGACACCAGGGTTCTGCATGGCCAGTGGCCAAATAGAGGTGGCTGGGCTTGGCATCTTGAGTCCAACATTTGAATTTATTCATCTTCAATGGAAGAATTTTAATCATCATAGTGACTTTAAAGAGTAAAAATATGCCCTACGTTACCTGCATCCCAGATAATTATCAATGGGCAGGACAAAGTTGAATGAATATTTAATCCTCAAAACAGTTTTTATCTTTAAACTTCAGTTTTGCTGAATCTAAAGTGAACAAAAAGACTCGCTCATAAGAGTATGGTTATTTCCCTTACCCATTAGTCTACAAACACAGATATTAGATTTGCTACTAGACAGCTTAGAGTGCCAGTGAAACAAACAAACAAAATAATATGTGTGCTTGTTGAGTAATAATTTGTTGGGAAGTCTTTGAAGGAGACTGAAAAAAATGAGTGAATGATACTATGTATATGAAGCATATTAAACATAAGAATAAATGAACAGCTTCTCAGGCAAGTCTTTTGCACTTAATTAACTAATCAATTTTCCAGGGTTCTAATGAATATTAATAGCAAAAGTATAATGCCAATGCATAGTAAATAATCCTAAGCATCGCTGATGTGTACTTTGAAACAGCAAAGGCAACAAAAAGAAGAAAGTAGCGTAAGTCAGCAGATTGAAAGAAAAGTAAGTGTGAGGGACCTAATTAAAGCTTAGTTTTGTTTTTCTTCCCTATAGAAAAAGATGTCATAGGACTGCTTTTGCCCAAACATTTACCCAACCACATATAACTTAAAAATCACATAGGCTTCTAGCAAGAACAGAGAACACAGGAATGCTTTTCCTTTGTGTTTGCTTTGGCATTGGTGAGATCTGAATGACCAATTAGTATACCTCCAACTTCAAATGTTCAGCCTGTATTCAAAACAATCTAAGTGAAGTAATTGATTTCTCATTTCTCTCGTATTATTTTTACTCATTCACATGGAAGAGACTTAACAAATTCTCATAAAGCCTTCTTTCTTCTCCCATTCATCTCTAATTGTTGATGTTCATCAAGATTTGGACCTAAGACCTCTTCTCTTTTCACTCTACCCACTCTACTTGCATGATCTCATTCAAATTTGTGATCCCCAATCTATGTCTACAATCAAGATCTCTGAGCCTCACATCCATAGATCCACATGTCTAATGAATTGTAAGCTTCTTTTAATGTCCTGCAGGCCCATAAAATGCAATTTAGCTGAAACTTTTTGGCTTCCCCCACAAACTGGCTGTAGGAGATGTGCTGAGTAAGGGGACCTTTGATGACTTGTTGTAGCCAGAAATCTGGCTTAACGATGACATGCATATTTCTCTAATATAATCCACAACATAAACGTAGTTTCCACAGTAATCTTCCTAAAGTGTATATCATGATCCTACCTCCCTTAGGACCCATAACTAACTTTTCACTGCCCAAGGATGTGTACCTTTAGGCTTTTCCCCTTTATTTTCTCAGCTTAAAATATCTGTGTACCCCCATCAAAATCCTATACTTTAAGAAAGAGATGAAACATAGAAGTCCCTGGACAGAGCTTATTCTGTCTTCTCATATGGCCCTAAGACCCTTTGTTCAATCCTCTATTCAGCCCTTCTTCTGCCTTCAGCTAATATTTGCCTCACAAGGAGGACTATAAGCTCTATAAGTGTAGGCAGTCTGTCGCCTTTTTCCTTAATGTCTCAACATTTAACAAAATACCTGACGCACTCAATACACTGCTAATAAATGCCATAATTCAGCGGGAGCCTCCCAGTTCACATAATGGAAGCCTATCACGCTAGCAGCAACTTAAAGGCAGAGTTGACCCCAAAGTAAACATGTGGGCTTCATTCTTGTTTCTCATTCATGAGCTCAGGTTATATCTATTTTTCTGGCCTTTTTGAAATATATATTTTTTATAGCAGCATGATTTATAGTCCCTTGGCTATATACCCAGTAATGAGATGGCTGGGTCAAATGGTATATCTAGTTCTAGATCCCTAACTGTTGTGGGGTGGGGGGAGGGGGGAGGGATAGCACTGGGAGATATACCTAATGCTAGAGGACGAGTTAGTGGGTGCAGCGCACCAGCATTGCACATGTATACATATGTAACTAACCTGCACATTGTGCACATGTACCCTAAAACTTAAAGTATAATAATAATAAAAAAGAAATACATATTTTTTTCATTCTAGGAACTCTCATTCTCAAAGGAGCAATGATTTCATTGTAAGCTGATTTACAATGGCTTCTGGGAGGCAGGACTTACAGGCGAGTTTTAACGGCACTTTCTGCTCACTCGTACCACATGTATCATTCAGCCATGGCTCACAATGCTATAAAAATGTCTCCACTTGCGTGATGAAACACGTCTATCCCAAGGTATGCCAGAGATTTGAAAATAAAAAGTAAATCTCCTCCTTGGGTGGGATCCACATTATCATGCAATTTGTGAGCATGCCCACGTGAGCCCGTTTCAGGCACTTTTAGATCAGTGGAGCAGCTATTAAAGTGCCATCAAAGCATTTTTGACTCCATAGAATTAATCACGAAATCTGTTCCTGCCAGCTCACTTATCATATTCAAAATATTAATTTAGAGCAAAATTAAATCGGACACCCACCGACAGCAACATTTTGCCCTTCAGAACTCCCCTTCATATTGATTTATTAATGGCTGCCAGAACAGCCTACTAGAACAATTTATTACTTCTTTCTGGATGTTTCTTTATGCTTACAAATAGTCTTTGGGAAAGAGAGGTGTTATCTGACAGTCTTTTGACAGGGGTATTTTTCAATTTGCATAACATTTGGGGGATTTATTGGGATTTAAGGAAGAAGTACCATTTTAGTATCGGTGGCAATAGGTAATTTGCTTCAGGAAGCTTTAAAGCCGGGGGGTCACTTTAAAGCTCGTAAGTGGTGCAAGTCGGAGATGATGTAAAAACTTCGTGCATCACTGAATCCACTCTTCACTGTGATGAAGTGCTATAAAAGCAAAATGGAAGCATAGGGTGTCTGTTTATGAACTATGGACATATTCTTTTTACTTTTGCTATTAAGATCTCAAATACCCGCATCAGCACTTGAATAGCATGAAAGTTCAAATGCTCAACTGTGACAGTACAAATTCCAGGTAGTAAAAGCAAATAGTTCCCTAATCCTGAGACAAAAGGCTCCTTAACTCTCCGGACCTCAGAGAGAAATCACACTGAGCAGAACCACTGAACAACCCTGACAAGGCCCAAAGTCCCCATCCCACTGGTGTACGCAGTGTTACCAACAGGGATACAGACAGGAGCCAACTTCGATTGAACCACAGGCCTTGTGCTCATTCACTCGGCCATTCCATACATTTTAATTGAGTGCCTACTACCAGGTGCTGTTATAAACACGGGGAATGCCAAGTTGAAGTCCCACATGAGGTCCAAGCTCACACAGAACTTACATCCTCATTGAGACAAGGGGGATGGTGACAGAAAATTTTTAAAAAAGAATCAAAGAGACAATTTCAAATAGTGTAAGGTGTTGTGAAGAACATAATATAGGGTAACGGAACAGAAGGTGATTGTGGGGTGGCAGGGACAGTATTTTAGTTAAATAGTCAGGGAAGACCTCTATTAACAGTTGAGAGAAGAGCATTCAGACAGCGGAAACAGTCGGCATCAGGTTTTTGCTGTAGGTATGAATTTGTGTGTACAAGAAACACGAAAAAAAAAAAGTCAGTGACTGCAAGATAGTGAATGAAGGGCAGAGAAGTCATGGATGAGGTCAGCCAGGCAAGACTCAGATCTTTGAGGGCTTTGTGTGCCTAGGTAAGTGATATAATGTGATTATGTTTTAAAATACAGCTCTGGCTGCCCTGTGGGGAGGTACTTTATGTCTCTTATCTCATTGAATTTCAACCATCGCACTATGAGTTTAAGTACTATCATCACTCCTGTTTTAGAGAAGTTATGTAGATTAGCCAAAGGCACAACTAGTTGGTAAAAGAGCTAACATCTCAACTATACCAGACACCAAACTCAGTTTGTAACTTTCAAGAGAAGCATAAACATTTTATAACTATTTAAAATTGCTTCTTTTAGATCCAAGGCAATCTGCTCATAGGTTCAAAGATTCCCTTTGAAAAGAATGTCATCCCACCCTCACCCTATGCACAGCGTCCTACATATGGAGGCAGATTTTACAGGTGAATTTTCCCGGTCACTGCCTTTTAGTTAGCTACTTGGGATGTGTCCTGTCCTCTCAGCTGTCTCCTTCCTGGGTGGCACATCCATTCTGCAGTTCCTTGACGTATGATCACATTGTCCTCATCTGAACACAGCCATGATGTACCAGTGACAGGGCCTGTCCTCATTAGTCTCTGTAAATGCTGTCTGTGTCTTCATGGGTACAATCCAAAGGTTCCTCATTATTACATGTCCAGCATGAGTTCAACCATCTGGAGCATTCTCATTATGTGCAAAAAAATAATAATAATAAATAGTTTGACACATATGCTATTCTATTAAAGTTCTTTCTTTTTTATTTTTACTCTTCTTATGAATCGTACATCAGAAATTAGACCAGAGGAAAACTATATGAGATATGAATAATAAGAATTGCCCCTAATTAATTAATGAATCCACCATTTGGTAGCAAAATGTAACCCTCGTTTAAATTGAGACATTTTGTATTGTATTTTGAAAATCTCTGAGAGTAGATTTTAAGTGTTCTTACCACAAAAAATAAGCATGTGAGATAATGCATATGATGACTGGCTCAAATGAACCATTCTACAATGCATACATATTTAAAAATATCATATTGTACATGATAAATTTATACAATTGTTTTTTGTCCATTTAAATATGAATTAAATAAATTGAGACATTTAACAGATAATGTTACGATTATGGTTAAGAACTATGTTTATTATCTCTCTACCCAATCCATCTTTATATCTCTATCTACCTATACATATACATTTACTCATATAAATTTAAAAGAACATAGAAAAAAAATGCCAGTGGAAGGTATCCTAGTTAAACTGTAATTACAACCAAAATTTAAATGATGACTTCTGCCAGAAACTGTCAGATCTTGTGTTTAGACATTGTGATATGTGTAGCTGAGAACTATTTTCCTAAAACCAAATTAACACTACAGCATTTTTTTCTGCTTTAACATATGAATGAGAACAAACGAAGAAATAAGAAAAAAGTGACAAATTTACATACTTAGATATTCTCAATTTCTTCTACAACTAAACTAGCACCATCCTTGAAAGAGACAAGGAGATAAAGCATTAGAAAGAAAGAGAGAAGAAAACAATAAATCTCAGCCAAGAAATTACCTGAACTATGGTAAAAACACAGACCTAAAAACAGAAGACATTGTGTAAGCTCTGAAATTGCACATAAGACATTTGCCTCACAGTGCCTTGTTCTCCTCATCAAATGGTGCTAGCAGAATTAGTAACTACTCGCCTCAGTTGATGTATAAAGTTTAGAAAACCTGCAAACTTTTAGGTGATAAATTCTCACTCTTGAATCTCTCGGCCTTTTTATTGTGCAGCTGGCTATTGAACACCTAGAATCTAAGATAAAAAGTGCCAAAAAACTGAAAAATCGAGATAAATGGGTGAATTCAACATTTTTAAAATAAAAATTAATATAAAATCCATAATAATGAAAATATCAAAACTTTAGAGATCGGTTCAGTGTTACTGATTTTTCATTTGCTTCAAGCTCCATAATGGAACTGTATTTTTTTACATTAATTTAAACTTATTTAAGATATTGTATTTAAATATCATTTATCTTGATGACTGGGTTTTTGATGTTTGTTACGTGTTGTAACCTAAGCAAGTTCTTCCCTCACCTCAGCCTAGCCCCTGCCCTGTCTACCAACGAATCTCTAGGGATTCTGAACAAATCAGTGTCTGTGTTATTGATGCTTGGGGCTCATGCATCCAGCCTTGCAGAACTTTAGCTTCTCCCCCAAGACAGCTAGCTTATCACAAAAGTTTTCAAAAGGAGAAAGAAGGCTTTTCCTTAAGAAGAAATCTTTTACCAATTTTATTTTTCTCCATCCTGCTATCATATATATATATATATATGTGATAAAAGCATAAGATACATGATAAAGGTCAAAAAGAATTCCTTTATGAGCCTTTCTCCAATATGAAATTGATAATTTTCTCTCTTCTCATTCACTTCATAATGGCGGCTAACAATTCTAAGGTAACAGAAGTAGCTTTATCTCTTTCAAGTTACTTTCTTATTTTTAATGGTGACCTTTGCTCTGAATCCTTCATCCTTTCTTATAGCAAATAGTTAGGGGTTTTCTCTTGATCTGTAAGGGAAAGGAAATACAAGGAGCTAGACCATGGGAGGCTCCTGAGGTATATCTGTGCTATAGAGGAGGAAAGACTGGCCCCGGTATTGCTCTTATAATACTAGTGATTAACAGTGAAACTAGACGCCTCCTTTTTCCTATACCACACAGCGTGCTTCTGGCAGTGACACTAAAGCTCTGCTTCTTAATTCCCTGAAAGTCACCTAAACTGCAGGCAACCAGAGATACACACCTCTCCCATGCACTGAATGATTTTTCTGAAGCTTCATGCTTTTGAATTTGCTGGAATGCCCTTCCCTTCTCTACCTGCCATGGTCTGAATGTGTGTGTGTGTCCCCAAAATTTGTATGTTGAAACCTAAACCCCCAACACAATAATAATAAGAGGTGGGGCCTTTGGGAGATAATTAGATCATGAGGGCTCCATGAATGGATTAGTGCCTTTATAAAAGAGGCTTTGGAGAGCCCGCTGTCACCTTCTGACACATGTGAATACAAGAAGAAGGCACCATCTTAGATGCAGAGAGCAAGTCTTCTGACACTAAATCAGCTAGCACCTTGTTCTTGAACTTTGCATCCTCCAGAATGGTGAGGAATAAATTTCTGTTGTTTACAAATTATCCAGTCTAAGGCATTTTGTTACAGGAGCCCCAGTGGACTAAGACTTTATCTCACAATGCTCTTCAATCCTGTGAATTGGCTCAAAAGTCTCTCTTTCGAAGAATGTGTATTGACTTCTTATTGCTGCTGCAACAAATTACGTTAATACTAGCTTATTATCTTACAACTCTGGAGGTAAGAAGTTCAAAAATGGGTCTGGCAGGGCTGCATTCCTTCTGCAGTTTCTTGGGGAGAATCTGTTTCCTTGCCTTCTCCATCTTCTTGAAACCATATACAATCCTTGTCTCTTGGCTCCTTCCCTGTTAAAAGCCAGCAGTATAGCATTATAGCATCTTCTCCTTTCTCTCTCCCTCTCTCTCCCCACTATTATCACATTGCTTTCTCCTCTCTGATTTTATGTCTGCCTTTTATAAGGTGTTTCGTGATTATGTGAGACCTACCCCAATAATCCACGGTATTCTTCCCACC
Source organism: Homo sapiens (assembly GCF_000001405.40). NCBI lineage: Eukaryota > Metazoa > Chordata > Mammalia > Primates > Hominidae > Homo > Homo sapiens. Next base: position 164,015,222 of record NC_000005.10, on the reverse strand, counting down.
TCAGGACCCGTTTGTCACATCTGAAAAGTTTCTTTTGCCATGTAAGGTAATATATTCATGTGTTCCGGGGTAGGTGTTGGGAGTAACATTATTCTATCTTCAGCAGACCTTCACTGATTTTCTGCCATTGTAAAACTTTGCTGTCCTCTGGCCACCACAAAACCTTAACTGTGTGCCCCCTCAGAGCCAGGTACAGGCGGTTACCCAGGGCGTTATCTGTAAAAGATGTTAGAACAACACTGTAAATGTAGTAAGTTGGAGAAAATTGTATTTGCTGGAAAACCTCCAAAGACGGAAGTCTGTTTCGTTGAGGGAACACTTGGGTAAGCTATTTAGAGAAGACGGAGGAAGATGAGACTCTCAAGAGGCATCTCCCAGGAACAAAATGGCCATGACACTACCTTCTAAAGAGGATTCTTGTTTTGCAGAGAGGACCTGAGACGGCCAGGGCCATCTTTCTCTGCCTTTCCATCCATGAGCTCAAATTCCTTCCTAAACAAACAATGAATACACATTTAGACAGTATTAGTTGAAAGAGAAACCAAACCTCAGCCAGCACACAGGACCAATGTATCCCAGTTGGGCATCTATCTACATTTTAGCAGATATCACTTTGTTATAAATTTTCTCATCTGTAAAATGGGGACAAGGGTATTTCTACATAAGTTGTTGGGAAGATTAAATAAGTAAAATGTTAAGAACAATGCAGTACACATAGTGAATGCTCAATAAGCCTTAACTATTCTATTGGATATAATTGTGCCTGTGTGAAGGTCATGTGGTTTGATAGACTGTGCAGCCTCCAAATCCCAGAGTTCATAATTTCTGAAGTGGCTAGAACTTTACTGTTCAATAAAGAAGCTAGTGGACACATTTGGCTATTTACATTTAAATGTAAATAAATTTAAATTACATAAAAACGTAAAATCCAGTTCCTCAATCACACTGGCCACATTTGAAGTGCTCAGTAACCACAAATGGCTAGTGATTATCTTATTGGGCAGCACAAATATGGAAGGCTTTTATTATCACAGAAAACTCTTTTGCATAGCACGTTCAATAAACGCCCCAGTGTCAAGGAATATTGTAAGGTTTTTAGAGAGCTGGAGAAAGCTTAATATACTCGCAAAATCATACATACATGGCAGTCATAGCTCTTTCATGGTAAATTTAAAAACCATAATAGATTTGAAATCAAATAAGCATGGCATCATTAACTCTGTGCTGAATATATAGTTGGGCTTCCAGGTTTCTGATGTTGTGATGAAAACAATTTGTTTTGACCTTCACCTTCTGTGGACAGCCAATCCAAAATGATTATCCTTCTTGTGGTAATGACATCATTTTCTCATAATCTTAAAACTCTGGCTTAGATCAAGTAGGTAAGAAAAGAGGGCACTTATAATTCAGGTCATGTTCACATTATCAGGGATGAACAATATGCTTTAATATCCTGAGTCTAACATATCGCTTAACTTACTCTAACATTTTTCTTTCTGTTCTAACCACATATTCTCCATTCTAGCCCCAGTGAAAGTGCAGAATTTATACCAAGGCCATCAGCACAAGGAGTTCAAAATGTACTCTCAAGCAAGAATGACAAGCATGTCACCACTCCAATATTCCATACCCACAGCCAATATTGCTAATCAATCCATAACATTCTCTCCATTGTCTTGGATGCGGCCTCAGAATCCTTCTCAACACAAGACTCCAGGTAGCACCCATCAAACAATTAATATTTCCATTCGAATACGGACAATGACAAGTAGTTGTCATTTCTGGGTCAAAGAATGTTTACTAGATAGAAAGAATCAAAGAAACAGGGGAAAGTCAGTTTTCCCATTTAAACAATGCTACTTTCCTTAAGGCACAATCAGGGTTTCGCTTCGCCTCCCTTTTTTAGTATAAGAGAAATGCTCTTTAACCAAGAATTCAGTGGAGCAACAGTGCCACCCAATGGCTGGTTAGATTAGTTTTGCATTTAACTGTTACCATCTTAAGAGAGAAACTGTCTTTCACTCATAAAAATGGGAGCTGGAATTGACTATTAACTGTTTAAGCTGCTATTCCCGTTTTCCTGAATGATAGTTACAGAAAAAGTAGGGGGAGTTCTGAGAAATGGGAATTGTCTTGAAACAAAAATCTCAGCACGTTTCTGTTATCAAACAGCTCAACAAGAAGAAAGGTTCCAAGTGAATTTACAAATGAACAGGACAGATTTTTCACTTCTTATATATAAAGGGGTAGAATGGGCAAGTTTCCCCACCCACCTCCTTGCCCCAGAGGTGAGCGTGGTTCTTTCTTTCCTATTTTCTAATAAATCACTGTGCTAAACGTCCCCTACTAGAAACATTAGAGTAGGTATATATATTGCAGCATTTTATATGCAAAAAAAGAGTGTAGAGGCTATGACAAGTGTTATAAATAGAAGTATTATTTAGTTTAAAGGGAAGCAGAATTTACATTTCCCAAATCGGAGACCACTCAAGCTTTGAGATTCAAGTAAGCAAAATAAATCTGAGCTTTTTGCACTGTGAAATCGAAGTTCTAACTCTATTAATAGAAGAGGTGAGTAATAGATTTTCCTGGTCTGATGGTGGTGGGATTTTATTACCCAATCTTCGTGATCTGCATAGTTCATCAGCCACTTTTCCAACGTGAGGTGACAGGGAGTCCCCAGGCACTAAGGCTGCATGTTGCTAAGTGCTGGGTTTTTCTCTCCCTTGGAGGGACTTATTTGAAGTTCTGGAGACATCCTCACAGGACTTAAGCCCAAGGAAAGCAAAAAGCCTGCTCTTCCTTTTAACTTCCAATCAATCAAAATGTTCACAGAATATATTTAAAAAAAAAAAACACGTTGATATTCTTTAAAAAAATTCCAGCAAACAGAATGAGTTGGTGCTAGGTTGATCTGATAATTTTTAATGTATAAAGAAGTTACACACAAATATTTATTACTGTTTACTAGGGATTGCTATGATTAATGACTTTTGAAAAAAATCAAATTTCCAATCTGCTGTTAATTTATGGTCAAAGGGCTTTTGCCCAGAACTTTTTAACTCAACCTTTGTCCTCTGGTTATTTTGGTGAGATGAACTGTGTTTTGCTGATAAATATGATTGATTGAAAAAAGACTCTGGCCTTTAAAGAGAAACTAGCAGGCTGAACAGAGGCACACAGCAAATATTTTATGCAAAAGCCAAAAATACAGTGCTAGTGAATCTGAGAAGAATATTCAATTAACTTCAGGTTTCTTCATTGAGTCAGTAGGTAGGAAGTTCAATTATAAGAAGTTTCATGGGTTATTTTAGTATTTTTTAAATAATTGTAATTTATTCTTACAGTGATGAGATTGTATGAAGTAGTTCAATGAGAGGCAAGAAGATGTGAAGCGTACATGGGCAAAATTTTAGATCAGCGGACCTGTGAATGAATCCTAGTACAGCCAGAAATGATCCATGTGAATTTGTGTAAATTACTTAACATCTATGAGCTTCAATTCCCCAGCCTGTTAAATGGAACACCAATAGCACAAACCCATAATATCATTATGAGGATTAATGAGCATGGTGTATGGTGAGAGAAGACAGAATATTCAGAGGGAATGTCTCAAGTCAGCAATGGAACTGGAGTAACAGGAGATGAAAGGAGAAAGGAAGATTTGCAATCCAATAATGATAATTATTTTGGAATACTGACACATCCTTAGGCTTAATGTAAGTGGCCAGAGACTATAAACTAATAGGTCCGTACAGCCAGTGGTGGTCTTGCAGATATGTCTTGTTAGATGACAGTGCTTAACTTTGGAATGTGTTTACTTGGAAGAGGGTCCTATATTTGCCATTTGCCACCAATGGTCCCATCATTTTCTACTGTGCTCAACCCATCTGGATTCTCTCATTTCTATCTCTCTGGTCTCTCCTGGCTTTGGACTTTTTGACCTGTGTTTGGCAAATAAAAGAAAATAACTGTTCGAAATGAGTCCTGAGATTTCAAATGATCAATTATGTGGCAGAATTCATGTTATACTCCCTAAATTGACTGGCAGAGAGGTTTCAGCTTACATGCCAGCTCTCTTGATTGGCGGCAACTGCCCCAAATGTGTGTTACGAAGCTTCTGAGGCTGCTGCCAAGTTCAGTGTTCTAGAGGGCAAGAGATAGCTGTCCTATGTCCTACTTCACTTGTCCTCAGAATGCAATCCACTGAGCATAAGCAACATATTATTTGATTTTTTCCTATGCCATTTAATATGGTAGTCACCAGCCACATGTGGCTACTAAGCATGAGAAATGTGACTAGTCCAAGTTGAAATATACTGTAAGTATAATATGCACACCAGCTTTCAAAGGTTTGCTACAAAACATAGAGTGTAAAAATCTCATTAATAATTTTTAATATTGACTATGTGGTAAAAAGGTAATATTTCTGATATATTGTGCTAAATACAATATAAAAATTTACCTTAAAAAACTTTTTAATGCAGCTGCTAGAAAAATTCGAACTTACATATGTGCCTCAAATTATATTTCTGTTGAATATTATTATATATTATATATCTTAATATATAATATAATGATGTAGTAATAGTAAAAATAGTTACTGGCCTTCATATATTATTTGTGCAATTTTTATTGAACTACAGACCCCGCCAAAGTATTATTTGGGTCCAAAAAATAAAAGGAGATAACTCTCAAAAGGAAAAATGATGAAAATTTCCAGTAGAGATTCTATTTATTTTTTAAATTCAATTTTCTCAGTGTTTTTATTGTTTGATTTATTTATTTTTCATTTGTATAAACTTATGGGGTACAAGTGTAATTTTGTGAGTTGCCTAGATTGTAATATAGTGGTAAAGTCTTTTGACCTTTTTTCTCAATGAAATTCTCAAAGTGCCTTCTTCGCCACACACAAACATCAACTGAGAATCACTGCTCTAGAAAGGGTCAGCAAACTAAAGACGATGGAAAAACATCCACCAGCCACATATCTATGTTTCCACCATATTGTCTATGGCTCCTTTTGCATTATAATGGCTAGGTTGACTAATTGTGACAGAGAGGATCCCCAAGGGGTCCTCAAAGTCCAAATTATCTACTGTCTGGCCCTTTACAGAAAATGTTTGCTGACCCCTGCTCTAGAACAATAATTTGAAATGGGTTTTCCTAAATTAATCCTCATAACAGACATTCAGGTCAGTTAACAGATGCAAAAAATTGCTTAGGAAGAAGTTTGGATCACCAGTGTTACAAACCACAGATGCGTTCAGAAATAAAACTTTATTTTCTAGCGTCTAAAAAAATCTTCAAATTGTTTTCTTCGAAACCATGCTTTGTAAAATGAGATCCTAGGGGCAGTGTTGAGAGACTGAGGGTTATTTGAGGCTGAAACGAACAAACATAAAGGGGATTACTTCCGGTCCTCTGCTCTGCTTAAGATTCCACACAACCTCATGTTTTACTGACACTTTCCCAACCTAAAAATGGACATCTGAATTAATGGTAAATTACTGAGAATTTCCTTACACAGATCATAAGCATCGTGAACTTTTAGTTGCTTAACAATAGATATTTTTGTAAGTTTTGATGAGAAATTAAGGCTATGATATTGCTACTTTCGTCATAACAGGTTTTTTTTTCTTATGAGTTGAATATAAATCTTCTGGTTTTCTGAATCCATCAGAGGAATCTTCTGGTTTATGGTTTATGAGACATCACATAAAAAGTACAGAGCTCCAAAATCTAAACTGGCATTATGTTTGGGAAAATAAACTCCAGAGGTTAATAAAGCATTGTTTCATCCTTCCAAGACCTAACTATCATATTAAAGGTTGCAGATGTTCATTTCCCAGTTTTATTAGTTTTCTTCACAATTGGTTAAAAACAGAAAGAAAAGAAATTACAATTCTAATTGTGACTCTACTTAACTAGTTCAAACTGATTTAAGTATGAACCTCTGAAAACTCAGCAACCATTTAAAAGTCTATTTGAGCAGTAGATCATAATTCCTAGGAGAAATGGAAAGGTGCTTTATAGTCTAATGCTTCCTTTTGAACTGTATATCACTTTTTTCTGTTTAGAATTCATTTGAATGCAGAAATTGAGCTAGGTTCCCTTCATTGGAGACACTCCAAATATTTTGACAGTTATTTGAATACCATATTGACAAGCCCATTATATTTACTGGTTCTAAAACAAATAATTTCCACATATCCTAAGCTATAAAACTCTTTAGCGGAAATTATTAAAAGATTATAAACTGTTTGTCTGTGCATTTTTAAAGGGAGGGATTTGTGACTTCTTAAAATAGGAAAATATTTGAATAGCAGCTATAATTCTAGTATATTCACAAATCAGTCATTAAAATGCATAGAGCAGAGATGTTGCAGCTGTATACAGCTTTTATTATTCAGACTGCTAAATGGGTGAAACATATATTTTAATTTAATGTATAATGCACGACTTGGAATGAACCAGAATGATTCTTCCTCCCCTGTCTCTCCTAAGGAGAAGCCAGAGATCTTTCAACGAGTTGCTGATAATTTATCCTGGACAATAGCCAGTTGAGATTTATAGAATATGCCAGCATCTCTTCATAAAACATTGCAAGACCTGGCAGAAGTTTAGTAAAAACAAAAAAAAGCTCATAATATTTCTGCTTTTATTTATATATTTTCATCAGGGATTTAATTGCTAAGCATTCAGTTTTGGTTATCAATTATGGCCCAGTGAGAACTTTAGCTCCTATAAAAAGTTAGTAAATACAAGAGTGCCTTCCCATTTTATTATTATTAGAATAGAAGGCCTAGGTGGGGAAGGAGCATTTAAAGACCTCACCAAAGAGACCTACAAAGAACCACCTCAATATTACTAATAAAGGGCAGGAAAAGGTCCAAAAAGGGATGTCCATTCTCATTTAGTAATCTTAGTAAGTCAGTGGAGTTATGTTTGAAAGCAGAAGTTACATGCATCCTTTATTCAGAGTGTGATAAGATTCTTCTGCTGTGAATAGGCCACGCTCCTGTCTGAAGGACTATGGCTAGAGAGTACTACTGTTTGCATAATGGTCAAGCTTTCTCTTCAGCCCTCGGGATGTCATCTTGAGTCTCTTGCAAAATAAAACCTCTCTCCTTACAGTTTCAGGACAAACAAAAATGCATTTATGGCTTCTCATATCACTATAAACACTTGTAGTCTATTTTCTTTGCTGAAATATAAGGTTCTCTCCAATAACAATTGATTTTTTTCTTAAGGGCTCCAACAACCTCTCATTGGAAAGCTAAACCTCTCTTCTACAAGACAAGTCTCAGTGTTAGGGCTGAACTTTTGTAGTGTGTTTAATCACAGACTCTGAAAAATAATTTTCTTGTGTCTTTTCATGTCTAGAGATTTATACCAGCGCTTAGTTTCTCAGAAAGGACAATGCAAAACTTCATGTCAGTTCTGTTGACTTTTGGATGTAGTCAATTCATGATGATATCAAGAGGGGATTTATCTTTTAGCATTATGGGTAATTTCATCAGAGAGAGGAACAAATTAGGGCTGAGGTTAAATGGTCTTCGAAGACTCTGAACTTGACTTAATCGAATTGCTAAAGCAAACCGTGACATACAATAGCCCTCAGAGCTATGAGTGCCACGTAATTCTCTGTGCTCTCTCATGCTGCCTCAGCCCTTAGGCTGGTGCCTGCTGGAATCTAAAGACCTGTTAGTATTTTCAAGAAGCCCAGATTCAACATGAGATCGTATGGTCTCTCTTCTAGGGTTTGATCATTTTAGTCATCAGTGATATGGCCTCATATCTCCCATATTTAGACTGATTGTAAAATATTCTCAGTATTTATTCATGTTTTATCCACTACTTTATGAAAGGGATTTGCAAGTTCTTGTAATAAAGAAGATAAATCTCATAACCTTAATAAAATGTAAAATGAATTCAGGACCATGGAGAGGTAGAATAGGTAAATATGGTACCTCCTGGGGCTTACAGAGTTGAAATTGGACTTGACACGTGAGTTGGTGTTTCTGGTTGACAATACAAGAGGAACACAAGCTATGATCCACACCAATTGTTTACTTTCCCTCATTTCTTAAATATACGTGTTTGTATTATTCATATCTGTCTGATGTTGTAGCCCAAGTGCCTTATATGTTTAAAGTTCACAGTTTCTTCCTATTTATTTAGTCAAAAAAGAAGCAAGAAAAGAACAGAGGAGGTCAGTGAGATTATTCTTAGTAATACTGATTTGTCCTTCCTTTATTAATTAGAGAAAAAGCTCATTCAAATCCCTCCCAAGACCACCTCTGATACCTGTAACATTGGTCTCATTCTACTTCTCCTGGAACCTTCTTCATTATTTAGCTATTGTCTTTCTTGTGCATCCTGACACCCTGTCACCTCTTTCCTTCTGTTTATAAATATTATATGTCTCTCCTATAATAATAAAGAGGCTTCTTCCACCTGTCAGCCTCATTTTCAAGCCTAGTATCCCCATCTCTCTGCCTCTTTCGAAGACCAAACTTCTTAAATGAAGAGCACATTCTTACAGACTACTCATTCTTACTTCCTTAATCTTCTGGATGCTATTGCCACAAACTCTCCAACATTTACCAAGAAAACCTTGCCATTGGCTCCCTCTTTGCCAGACTCAAAACCTCTTCCTGCCTCCTCTCCAGTCTGGAGCTCCAGTTTGTACCTAAAATATCTCAACTGCTGACCCCAATCTCTACTCTTGCCATTGCATTGTCTTTATTTCTATCAGAGTTAACTTTCCAAGCAAAAGTTGGATTATGTCACCTGGAAAGATTAAGACTTTCCCCAGCTTGAATTTGGCCTTATCTCTAGATACCTCCTACATGTACACAGGTATTTACTCCTAAGGCACACACTCGGAGCCTTACCCATTAAAAGCCCCCACTCTACAATGACATTGTTCTGCCTAGAATATCCTTCAGCAACATGTCTATTCAGCAAAGACCTGATCTTTAGCTCTCTCCAACTCCCTCTCTCTTGCCGTGAAGAATTAGTGCTGTACATGGCCAGGGCACCTGATTAGATTGCTCATCAGTTGTTTGCTTATTATGCCTCTTTTCTGCTAAAATGTAAGCTCATTCAAGAAAGAGAGCTTGTCTTATTTCCCTTTGAATCTCTGTTAACTTAGTCGATGTCCAATAAATATTTAGTAAATTAATTATCATGTTAGTCTAATGTTATTATTTTACTACTGAACCTGACTATGGGGTGTATAGGCAAATTTATAATATATTCCTGCAGTATTGTCAACTGCCCTTGGCTGCCCAGAACTTATCATGGGCATATTGTTACCATCTATAGCCTAACATTGACATGCAGGCCAGAAATGACAATCAAAATATTTCAGTATACAGACGGAGTCTCGCTCTGTCACCCAGGCTGGAGTACAATGGCACGACCTCGGCTCACCGCAACCTCCACCTCCCGGGTTCAAGCGATTCTCCTGCCTCTGCCTCCCAAGTAGCTGGGATTACAGGCACCTGCCACCATGTCTGGCTAGTTTTTTGTATTTTTAGTAGAGCTGGGGTTTCACCATGTTGGTCAGGTTGGTCTCGAACTCCAGACCTCAGGTAATCTACCCACCTCTGCCTCCCAAAGTGCTGGGATTACAGGCGTGAGCCACAGTGCCTGGCCACCTCTTCAATCTTCACACACACTGTATGAATCTGCTTTTGCTCAGACTCCGAATCAAAGCCCTGAGACTAGGTTTGAGTTTTAAGTTTGCCTCTTTCTGACCCTGCTAATAAATTTAGTCTGTCTTTTGTACAGCATCTAGTTTGGTATCATGCTTAATTAAAGGTTTGTGCTAATTAATAATAAAGTAGGTAAATCGGAACCTTGAGATTTCAGTTCTCTATTCCATTGCCTCTCTCTCTCTCAGCCTGATTGAAACCTTGCTCATTATCTTCCTGCAATTAATTCCTTATTCCTGAGGCTTCTTCCTGTTATCCCAGGGGATGAAGCTCCTGGATGAAGAACCTCATCCAGATGATTAGGTCACACTGCATTTACCAATTAAACAATAGTTAGTTATTGATTTCTACTGAGAAATGAACATGATTAGCAGACCCTTTACAGAGAGAGCTATCATTCTAAGAAGTTACCATTTCATAGTTCTATTTCTAGAGAATTACTTGGCATTTTCTTAAGGTCAGATGGGATACCATAGTACTAACTATTTAGGAAGATAAATCTGTACCTTATCACTATTAGAGAGTGCTTTCAGGGCCATTGTTAAAAGCTCATCATATAGACACAAATATTAAAATGTTTATGTGTGAATAATTCAATGTTATAAAGAAAAGTGCACCATTAACTCTTCATTATGTGCATTTCTTTATGGCCTCATTAAAGCTTTCTCTCTCTCTCTCTCTCTATCTACATATATGCACATATATATGTGTGTGATATGTACACACATGTGTATGTGTGTTTGTATGTGTATACATATGTGTATGTGCATGTATATATATGCGTTACATATACAAACTGTGTTTTATGGACACATGTTGTATGTTCTTAGAACCAAAAGTGTCTTGTCATTCTACAGTAAAAATTATTTCTAAATAGATAAACCAGATAAACATAGGTTTGCCTCAGTAATCAATGGCTATAGTTAGCATAATATCCTTATCTTAGTGTGATTCATTTATTGCATGCCTCTCTTTTTCTCCCTCTCCATGTATACCCTCATTTGCATTTGGAAATAGATTGGTTTTGCTGGATTTGAACCTACAAGCAAGGAGCACAAAACTGCCAACAAATGTGGTATACATAATACCGACAGTGTGTGAGGGGTTTTGAGATGATACATTCTCAACTGTTTTTATAAGGTTACATGCTTATTTCATGTATCATAATAAAAATATTTGAAAATACATAAGATCAATGAGTTCATAGCTAAAATGCTTAATATAAAGCTAAGCAAAAATTGAATTGAATTTAAGAAAATATTATAGGTATGGAATAAATTGTGAAGAAAATATGAAAATAATAGGAGTAGATGTGGGGTAGAAAACAGATTAGGTTCAGGAAGAAAGAGGACAAATAATAGTTAATATGTATATGGCATTTATGTTACATATAATATTTTATAAACCCTACCACATCTTTTCAAATTTTAAAAACTAAGACTCAGTGACATTAAGATTTCCCAAGTCCACATAGCTAAAAAAAATTGAATTCCAAGCCTGTCTAGATCTAAATCCTTATTCTTCCCACTCAAAACATAATGTATTCCTTGTTTTAAAAGCTACAAATATTTTAAAAGGTAAATATGTACAAGATAGGGGACTTGCTCATGAAAGTGAAAAACACCATTATTTTCCTGAGAATAACACCTAGATTTTGAGAACATTTCTCTGTGATATTAAACATTTGAGCAATTTTTTGCAGAGTGTGGTATCCTAGGAAGATTAAATATGCTTGTTCATTGAGTTATTAGTAAATAAACTGTTCTTACTCTTTGGAAGTCAAGATGTAGCTACCAAATTCAGAAGCAGAATGTAGACCATTGTGAATAGGTAGGGTTTTATGCTGTGGTTCACATTGGTCACTATACATATGGGCTATCCCAAAGAGGAGGAAAGGATGACCCTTGCTTTTGAGATGTTCATCAAATTATTGTGAATTTAAAAATAGAAATCAACTGCAAAAATGTATACTTTTGCTGAGAGGAATAATTCAGACTATGTATGTGCTACTTTTTAGTGAGGAGAAAGCAATGTCAGTCAAAGTATGTGGGCAAACACTTTTAGAGAAGGCAACATTTTAGTCTGGAGGGGACATAGTATAATATTGACATCATGGACTTGGATATCATAATAATAACAATGACAATAATAATAATCAACCTGGGTGTGGATCCTGGCTGGCCTCCGTAGTGCACATCTGTGGTTACTGCCACCCTGGGTGAACTCTCCATTCTTCTGGTAACAGCTTCCCACTTTGCTTTGGAAATCAGCCCACCATTATACTGAGTCCTGTGTTTGGAGGGAGGGCCTTATCTGACCCCATTCCAGGGTAGGTGAGTGACCCAAGCCTGACCGTCTCAGCATATTCTATCCTGTGAACATCAAGGATGGCTATGTGACTGTAATTGGTCCAATCAGAACCAGCCCCAGGACTTTTTGGAAAGTGCTAAGAATGGAGATTCTCACTTTCACTGAAGATGACGAGTAAAGCCTCTAAGTCTGGCTGCCAGCAGTCATCACACCACCACGAGGGAAAGTGTTTGCCCGACAGTGGAGCCAACACATGGGGAAGCTGTGATGGGCAATGCAAAGGAACCAAGTACCAATGAGCCTACATTTATGTTCCTTGAATTGAGCCATATCTGAAGCCAGCAAGAGCCACTGAGTTTCTGATTATATGAGTCAGTAAATCACACCTCCCTATTTTTTCTTTCACCAGTTTAAGTTTGGTTTCTATTTCTCACAACCAAGAGTGCTGACTAATACAGCTAATTACCACTGGCATGTCCTTGGATGAGTGATTTGCCTCTGAAGGTTTTTGTGAGGGTTTAAAAAATAAAATACTGCATATAAAAAAATTCAGCACAATGTTTTATTCGTTGACAGGGAAAGTATGTGCCGAAGAATAAATAATAAGCTGCACTGAGAGTTCAGAAGGCCTTATTTGGATGCCAAACAGAAGTGCAAGAGAAGAGGCCAGCGAGTGTGATAATGTTGCTCCCCAGCAGATCCTCTCAATTTTCAGGTCTAAAGAAACTGGTTTGGAGTTGAAAGTGACAAGGCTAAGAGCAGGGAGGAGAAATAGGATAGGTCATGTCCATTTATGTCAATCACTTTCACATTCCAAGGTATAGTATTTCAAATGAAAAGCCTTAGACATATAAAGGAAACAAAATAGGTCACTTGGGCCACAGTGAGTCTTTCAGGAAAACCTGTTCTGGCACAATCAGGCTAAGCTAAATCGTGTTGTGTAAAACTATCATATGACTTGAGAATAACATCAATGGAAGTAATTGGGGCTTTTTGTTGTAGTTCTGTGGCCTATTTTTCACACTTCTCTATTGTAGAAAGAAATTAATAATGACACAAATTATTTTAATTATTTCCTTCTAGTGCATAGTTTGATAATCAACAATTTAAATAATGCACCTACATTAAAATATTATTATATTTGAAGGAGTTTTTTTTTTTGAAGTTCTATAGAATTTAAAGTGTAGTCTTGGGTGTTTATTCTCAGTAAACAAGATCAAGCTCATCATATGTATCCAACAGCACAATCAGTGGGGGTATGATAAAAGAAAGAAAATTCACTTACATGCTTTAGAATAAGGATTCAGCATGTACATTTAAAATAAAATTCAAAATCATTATAATCTGGCTATTAATAGTACTTTCCTTGTGATTTCTTTTTTAAAAAGTAGATATGGCCTCGGTTTATATGAATGTAATTCAACTAGGAAAAGTTAAAGCTTTATACCAACAAAAAAATGTTTCAGGGATTTCAAACACTAGACATTAGTCTAATACAATATGATGATTCTTGTCATTTACACTCGGAAATTCAATTTCAGAAGCATAATAGGACATTCAAATGGAGACATCGCAAGGTACATTTTTAGGTTTGGCCATGCCACTTAAAAAAGAAATATGAGGACAAGAAACACGATGCAGGGATAGCAGGATTTAGTTACCTTTGCTTAATTAACTTGTAACAATAAGAGACCCAAACTGATGATGTTTTAGTTAAAGTTTCAAGTATTTTACAAAAATGATTCTATTAAAATACTAATGTTGAGCAAGTGACATCTGTTGCTTATTAACAGGAGTATAAGTTTTGAACACTTCTGCCCATTGTATTTTTACTTATTTATTTATTAATTTATTTGAGACACAGTCTCGCTCTTGTTGCCCGAGGTGGAGTGCAACGGCGCGATCTTGGCTCACTGCAAACTCTGCCTCCTGGTTTCAAGTGATTCTCCTACCTCAGCCTCCTGAGTACCTGGGATTACAGGTGCCTGTCACCACTCCTGGCTAATTTTTCTTTTTTTTGTATTATTAGTAGAGACGGGGTTTTGCCATGTTCGCCAGGCTGGTCTGGAACTCCTGACCTCAGGTGATCCATCTGCCTTGGCCTCCCAAAGTGCTGGGATTACAGGCATGAGTCACTGTGCCTGGCCTGCATCTTAGTAGGGGAGTCACCAAGGAAAACACGGTGTAGCCAAGCACTGGACAGAATCACACTCTACTCACATAGAGAAGAGACAGAGCAATATCAACTGCACAAGTGGGCATATGGATTATTTCCTGAGTTGCCAAAGATAGATACTACTGGGATTCTTTTTAATCATACTTTAGAATTTCCTCTTGAATCATACATTAGATTTTAGTCTAACTCCCAAATGGTTCAAGCCTTGGAGTTAACCCCAATGATGATATATTTGTTTAAATTAATTAAGTAAATATAATAATTTCTAAGCAGCATTCTCCAATAGAAATATAATACAAGCTACATATACAATTAAAAGTTTTTTAGTAACTAGATTTTTTTAAGTCAAAAGACACAAGTGAGATTAATTTTAACAATATATTTTATATAGCACAAAAGATTCAATGTTATAGTTTTAACTTTATTAATATACAATTTATAAATGAGATATTTCTTTTTTGTTTTTTGTCCTGACTTTGAAAATCCAGTCTGTATTATATACACTGACAGTAGGTCTCTGTTCGGGCCAACCACACTGTGTTACTGACTTCTTACTGAGCAGTGCAGTCCTAGAGGGATCAGAGGTTCTTGTTCTGACCACAATTTCCTTCTTTGAGAATTAGCACACAACAGCAAATGCAACATATTCACAGTGTTTCATCCTATTCTATTCAACAATGCCTATCGTGGAAAACCATTAAGAGAAAACAAAATCTCAAAATTCCGGAACACAATCTGAGAACACTTTGGGGAAACAATAAGACCCATCAAATGTGAATGAAATGAAGGAAAATAAAAATAGGGACTAGATGCACATCTCATAACCTCCCCAGTCCAGTGACTTGACACATCAGAAAATTGGATATTCTTGCATTTTCACTAAAACATGAAGCATACAAAATTGTGAAAGCAAAGTGCATTCATTAAATTCTACCAGGCTGAGAAATGCAGGCTTTAGCTGAGTCTGGTAGTATAATTTTTGAGTTTCTAATTATAAGGCTAGTAATTTCAGATAATATTTGCTATGAAATATTTCTCAACTTTTCTAATATATGTGTATGTGTGTGTATACACATATATTAGAAGCTTTTACAGATGCTTCTCTTTCTTTGGTTGGCAATAATGACACTGCATTGACACCCATAGTGCTCTGTCAAATTGCTCTGGGGAAAATCACTTGTAATTATAGAGACCCTTCCAACAAACCTCAATTATTCTTTCTCTAAAATTTTTCTTTGTACAGTCTTAATATATCCTTTAACTACTCTGCACTTATTTAAATTTCCTTTTTTTTTTTCTCAAGGCTCTTTCACAGTTGAACTCTTACTTCAACTCTGTATCTAATCACTCCCACTTCTCTATCTCCATAAAACACCCAGCTCAGTAGGTGAAGGGATTGTGGTAGGATGAAAACCCATGGGTTGTAGACTAAAGCCAGCCTTGGTTCAGAGCCTGTCCCTGCCCTTAATAGTGAGAGACTTTGGTCAAGGTACTGAATCTCTCTGATTTGCTTCAAATCTATAAAATGGAGATGAGATCTAGTGAGTTCATAACATGCACCAACAATGCATGGCACATATGCTAATTTTAGCCATGTCAATTATTATTATTAAATATCAACACGAACCTAACAATCTCATGGTCTCAACATCCTTTTAAGAAAATTACTAAGGGTTGTTTAAAAAAAACTCAATATTCTCTAGATAGATAGATACTCTATCTCTCTCCCTCTCTTTTTCTCTCTCGCATTTCAAAGTCAGTCAGGAAATCAAATAGCTATCCGATACTTCCCCCTCCTATTTTATCCTAGGGCAGTGATTCTTAAAAATTGTTCTGTGAGATGTCAATAGTATTTTTTAAAGTTCTATTTTTAAAAAATTGAGAAAATAAATTTTATATAGTTTTTATTTTTCAGCAAACTTTTCAGAATATTTAATATGATTGAGGACTTGTAAATCTTCAGAAAGGAGATAGATAATTAGCATTTCCTAAATTTATGTGATCATTGAATCTTTTTCCTCAAAGTATTTCACAGGAATGGTGTTCCACAGATCATACCTTGGGAAATGTACTAACATCTCATACTTTTGTTTTCACCAACTAAATTGTAAAACTGACTCAGCAGCTAACACTGCATATACTTTATAGTTATTGCACTTTTATTTGCCTTCTAAATCACAGAAACAAATTCTTTCCTTGCTTCAAACCTTTCTGAAATAGTTTTGTACCAGGTTTCATAATTTTGTTCGTCAACAGTTTCTTACATTCTATGTAAACAGAATTCTATGCAAAGAAATAGTAGAGGTACAAAGAGAAGAAAGCCAAGTTCTTAAATAAAACATTCTCAGAGCTTCAAGTTTAAATAAAATTGAATATTCCAGTTTTGAATGGAGCAATTGAGTTGCTGACAGAACAATTAAATGAAGAATTTTTGCAGTCAAAACTTAAAATTTTAATGACAAAACTGAATACCCATTTACCATGAAGCCATATATAAAATAATCAGTTTATGAAATATGAAGATATAATTTGATTCCTCACTTAGTTGCTCAAAATCACGATTTTAAGTCACAAGTAAACTAGAGTATATGCTAACGTATTGAAAATTAGTCAGATTACTTGAGAGGTATATTTTGGGAAACAACTTTAAGATGCTGAGCATTTGGAACAGATTCAATTTACTTTTTCATGAAAGATACTCAGATGGAATGAAAATAACAAAACATGTACCTTAGGATTGTAGCCTCACTCTCAGGCTTTTTTAGTCTTTCTATAAATATCAAGGGCTTTCTATCTGAGTCATAACACATCAATCACTATGTGGATAAGATAATTACTGTTCATGCTTACTTTGGGAACTGTGGCAAAACACCTGAATTTTCCAAGCACATCTTTCCTTTCTTCTGTCTAGCAAGAATTACAATTCAGGAATTTTCAGCTTACAAATGGTAGCTGAAATTAAAACCAATAGGAGAGAGACAGGATCATAAAATGATTTGAAGGGGACTCTCCTCTCACTTAACCACATTTAAAAGTTGCAAGATGCAACTATAACTCTTGTTCTAGTATAATGCAAACATTAAGAATAGAACTATAACTTTCCATAATTTTAATAAATTTAGAGTGTTAACTACTCCAATTCTGTATTGTCTGTTTCTATTATCTACATCCATTCAACATAACGGAGTACTAACTAAGCATGAAGAAGATAGCTAAATAGATAGATACCTCAAAACTTAATCTATTTTACTATTAATTTTCACTATATTATTTAGAATAGAAATATGCATGGGGAAGGGCAGCAAGTTATTGGTCTCTAATTATGTCACAACTTTCTCAGAAGACTTCAAACAGTTGTAATCTTTGCAAATTGTAGGCCCATTTTTCAAATGGCAAACTGAAGATAAAATACATACATATACACCATGGAATACTACGCAGCCATAAAAAAGGATTAGTTCATGTCCTTTGCAGGGACATGAATGAAGCTGGAAACTATCATTCTCAGCAAACTAACACAAGAACAGAAAACCAAATACTGCGTGTTCTCACTCATAAATGAGAGTTGAACAATGAGAACACATGGACACAGGGAGGGGAACATCACACACCAGGGCCTGTCGGGGGGTCGGGGGGCTAGCTGAGGGACAGCATTAGGAGAAATGACTAATGTAGATTATGGGTTGATGGGTGCAGCAAACCACCATGGCATGTGTATACCTATGTAACAAACCTGCACATTCTGCACATAGATCCCAGATCTTAAAGTATAAATATATATATGTGTGTGTGTGTGTGTGTGTGTGTGTGTGTACTGCCAAAGCCAAAGCTCTGAGATGCCACAAGTTTTATCGGTTATTTGTCCATCAAATACCTGCCAATCCAACGAATGTACTGATTTTTTTCCCTCACTTACTCTAAATTATTGCCTCTTTAACCAATTTCTCTTATTTTCATATTCTATTTACTTGACATTAATACGCCTATATTTAATATTATAAGGAACACACAACATTTATTTGTTCTTTTCTTTCTTTTTTCTTTTTTTTTTTTTTTTTTTTTTGAGACGGAGTCTCGCTCTGTCGCCCAGGCTGGAGTGCAGTGGCGGGATCTCGGCTCACTGCAAGCTCCGCCTCCCGGGTTCACGCCATTCTCCTGCCTCAGCCTCCCAAGTAGCTGGGACTACAGGCGCCCGCCACTACGCCCGGCTAATTTTTTGTATTTTTAGTAGAGATAGAGACAGGGTTTCACCGTTTTAGCCGGGATGGTCTCGATCTCCTGACCTCGTGATCCGCCCGCCTCGGCCTCCCAAAGTGCTGGGATTACAGGCGTGAGCCACCGCGCCCGGCCAACATTTATTTGAAATTGAGTTTCTGTCCTAAGAGATAACTCAAATCCAGCCAAATACATACAAATTTGCTTTTCCTTTTTTCTCATTTTCTATTTATACATAATATTTGAAATATTTATGGAATGCATGTGGTATTCTGTTACATGGATAGAATGTATAATGATTAAATTGAGGGTATTCTAATTTCTCTCTTCTAGCTACTTTGAAACATATAATACATTGTTGTTAACTATAGTGACCCTACTCTGCTATAGAGCATTAGAACCTATACCTTCTATCTAACTTTATATTTGTATCCATTGACCAACCTTTCTTCATCCCCCGCTTATACCCATACACCCTTCCTAGCCTCTGATATCTACTGTTCTATTCTCCACCTCCATGAGATAAATTTTTTAGCTCCCTCATATGACTGAAAATATACAAAATTTGCCTTTCTGTGTCTGGCTTATTTCATTTAACATAATGACCTCAAAGTCCATCCACATTGCTGCAAATGGCAAGATTTCATTTTTTAATAGCCAAATAGTATTTCATAGTGTATGTATACTACATTTTCCTTATCCATTCATTTGTTGATGGACACTTGGGTTGAGTTCATATCTTTCCTATTGTGGATAGTGCTGCAATAAACATGTGACTATTCATCCAACAAGGAATTAATACTATGAATATACAAGAAACTCAAACAACTCAAAAGTAAAAAGATAAATAATCCCATTAAAAAATGGGCAAAGGACATGAATAGACACTTCTCAAGAGAAGACTTTGTAGAAATGGCCGACAGGTATTATGAAAAAATGCTCAATATCAGGGAAATGCAAATTAAAACCACAGTGAAATATCATCTTACCCCAGTTAGAATAGCTATTATTAAAAGGACAAAAATAACAAACGCTGTTGAGGATGTGGAGAAAGAGATACTATTAATCACTGTTGGTGGGAATGTAAATTAGCACAGCCACTACGGAAAACAGTATGGAGATTTCACACAAAACTAAAAAGAAAACGACTATACAATCCAGAAACCTCACTACTGTGTATTTATCCAAAGGAAAAGAAATCAGTATATCAAAGAAAATGCTTTTTAAAATATCTCAACGGTCAATAATACCAAAATCCTAGTTGTCACTAAATGGAGGCATAATTCAGATTTTATTGCTTAAAGTTAACAGCCTCAATCTAAGGATCTCTACAGAGCTTCAGGCCTCAGAAGCTTCTAGCCGCTTCTGGAGTTCAACTGGCACACAGTCACAGCATGCTGAGAGATAATTGCCCAAGGTCACTGGTGAGCAGCAGTAGGGAAAATCAAACCCAAGGGTTGCAGGATCTTATAAATGTTCTCATCTCAAGAGCACCGAGAAAAAAAATGGTTTGCAACATGCCAGTCCTCAAGTGTATTTATTATTTCAATTTAATAATCATCGACCTAGTAAGAATCCAATAGGCCAAATGAAAATAAATGATACTTATTAGTGAATAATGGTTTGTTCCAGTCTCTGAGTCTAAAATAAAGTAACCTCATCAAAAGATAAATATCAGCACTGGCCCTTAAAAGTCAACAGGTAATGATAAATAGGAATAAATGGAAAGAAATAATAAGGAAAATAGCTTAGAAAGTTGGGAGATTGATTTTCTTACATTAATAATGTATTCCATTTTTTCCAATTATTTGATGGTCTAGCAAAATTATATTAAATAGAAGAATTTCTTTTCCATATATTTTGGTCTATTTAAGTAATACAGCCTAATATAGGAAGAAAAAAAGGAGAACATTTTTTAATAAGTACAGTAAGCTCTGGAAATGAAAAATGACATTTTCCATTTTTACAGATATTATATAATCTTAGACATAGCCTTAATTTGGCCACTTCATGTCCCTCTTGAAAAGTTTCTTACAGGTCATGGGTTGGTCTCAAACCAAACATGTCTTTAGAGAAACATTTATAAGAGATTTCTATTAGACATCCTGAGATCTTGTTCAAGATGCCGTTTCTAACTGTGATTATTGTTTTCTAGCTGAGGGAAAAGATGAACTTTGTTTATAGATAATAATTGTTTTATGGAAGCCAAAGTCCAGAAATAAACCTGATCTTTATATACACTGAGAACCAAGAGCCAGAAATTCAACATCAATCTGGCATATTTTCTCTTCCTTCCCTTATATATCCTGTATCTGCTTCTAGAAGTCACTGATTTTTTCTGTTACGTGGGTCTTTCTCTATATATGCCTCCTCTTTAACAACCCACAAAATAAAACCTGGCCAAAAAGTTAGTGGTAATTCCAGAGGTTGTATCATTTCCTAAGTCTAGACTCATAACTACAGTAGATGTTAAACCCTCTTATTTAACCTTATTCTTATACAGTTAAGTGACCTGAAAAAGTCAGAGTAGCAAATTTAAATATATATGTAATATATAATATCAATTATACTTACATAATATATATTTTGAACAAATAAAAATATGTACTATAAATATATGTATTTATATATACATTATATACATTTTATATATATATTCATTATATATTGTATATTATTACATGATCTTAATCACTTTAACTTTTTTTTGAGACAGGATCTTACTCTGTCACACACCCGAGCCTCTTGAGTAGCTGGGACTACACGTACGGGCCATCACACCTGCCTAATTTGTTGTGTTTTTATTTTTATTTATTTATTATTTATGGTAGAGACAGGCTCTCAGTATGTTGCCCAGACTGGTCTTGAACTTCTGGTCTAAAGTAATCGTCCTGCCTGAGCCTCCCAAAGTGCTAAGATTACAGGCATGAGCCACCCCACCTGGCCTGCTTTAACCTTGTAACTAAAAATGATTATCTGTAAATCACATACCAAGTTTTGATAGAGCATCTTGAAGCATGGTTTGCTCCTCCCCCATGTAGGGGCTGGCTCACCTTTAGGGAATATTGAGGCAGAGCTAGGGACAAGGGCAGTATCTCATGTCCTCACTGAGCAAGAACACAGTCTGATTTTAAGCTAGTTGTTATTGTTTCTTTCTCTGGCTAGCTGGCTGGCAGTCTGTGAAGGATGTTGTGAATGTGTGGATTTGTGTAGTGTCCTCCCCAGCTACACAAATCTTTTGCATGGGAGCATCTGGTTTAATTCTTCTTTCTCTGTCAGTGCCCCAGCAAGGCAGCCCATCCCAGACTCGCTGCGAAGCCGTTCTCCTGTCAGGAGGATGCTTTTAGTGCAGTTTTGCAAAGTCACTCAAGTCTCACCATTATCCACATTGTTACTCATGCCAGAGAAGGCTCTCACGCCCTTGCTCAATAGGATGCAGTTAGAAATGACATTCCAGGTCTTTCAAGGATGGCTCATCAGAGACATTCAGCTTCTGCCCGAACCTCCTAGAATGCTTGTTCTGGGAGAAGCCAGTTGCCATGTGAGAAGTTCAGTTACTCTGAGATAGTCATGCTGTGAGGATGTCCAGGCTAGCCATCTAGAGAGGCCCTGAGAAGAAAGATGAGTTCCAGCCATTCCAGCCTCGTTAGGTGAGGGAAAAAGCCATCCTGGACATTCCAGACATAGTAGAGTTGGCATAGAAAATAACTAAGAATCCAGCCAATGGCAAATGCTGAAACACTAAGCATATGGCCACAACTGAGCCACCCGAGCTGAAGCCCAAGTCGTCATGGAACAGAGACAAGTCATCCCCACTGTGCCCTACCTGAACTACTGATCCACAAACTTGCAAGGATAGCAAATGTTTGTTTATACCACTAAGTTTTAGGGCTGTAGTTACACAGCCATAGATAACCTACTACTACTACTATATCACCACACATTCAAACATTTTTCAGCCTTTTTAAGATATTTACGTATATTTTTGTAGGTAGCTAAAGTTCCTCCAGTAGTAATTGCTATATAAGGTTATTTGTTTAAAAACAGTTGTACTTCAGCTGAATTAGAATGGGTTTTGCTATCATACTGACAGCTACAAACTGTCTCTGTGATCTAGGGCAAGTAACATTAACTCCTCTGTACTTTATTTTATTTATTTTTTAAAGGGAATAATATAAACCATTTCATGGGACTCCATGGGAATTTAATAACATAAAATGCAAAAGATGTTTTTTCACAGTTTCTAACACATCATAGGTACTTAACTAATAGTGGCCCTTTGGAATGATAATATTAATATATTTTCACTTTCATTACTGTCCTTCATAAAAGCCAGATGTGCACAAATACCTAAAGGAACTATTTCTGACACAGTAAAAAAGTAGTTTGCATTTAAAGGAGTAAAATCTGTTCAGATATTACATTATTTTATCTGCTTTCAGTCCATTTCGAATAAGCTTAAGAAGTCTTGTCAGTCATCCCAAGAATGCCTGTTTATCCTACCAGGAAGAGATCTTAACATTTGAAGTTACCCCATCCTTACTTGAAACATTTGTGAAAAAAGATCTTCACATATATGAGGAAAAAGTAAACAAATATAAATTATAGGAATTTAACCTGCCACGATGTAATAAAAAGAGAAAAATTGTGGGGGAAGGGGGGAAGAATCTCACAAATATTTCAATCAAATTAGCATCTAACATAAGTTAGACAGGACTGAGAAGATAATTACCTGCCTAGAAAAACAATTAAATGAAGGTTTTTGTCTTTTTGTCTTCTTCTTTCTTTTTTTTTTTTCTTAAACAACATATGCTGCTGTTAGAAAGAAATGATGGAAGCACTTCTTCTGATAATATGATATTTTAAGAGTTACTTTTTGGGGAATATACCTCTAAATATAAAAACATGAATGCTTGGTGTGAAGGTAAAGTTATGCATAATCAAATGCAGCTGGGCAGCCAAGTCCATCCTCACACAGGCAATTCATTTCACTAGACCTTGATTGGATATTATTATTTTACCTGTTCATAATAAAGTGGTTCTTTGAAGCAAGTATTATATTCCAACAGTTCCTTCTGTTTTATTGGAAAAGCAGGATCTGTGAATCCTTTCTTGATAACTGTAGGCTGTTCATCTCAACTGATTATTCATTTTACTGGAGTCCTTCTTCAAGAGGGTGTCAAGGACTTTTATTTTTGTCATAGAAACACTAATTTGCATTTGAAAGATGGGAAGTTGGGAATAAAGTCTTCAACTAATTATAATCAGTGACTACATCTCTGTGCCAAAGCCTGTGCACGGTCACAAAGGATCGAAGAAGAGTAATGTACGTTTTACTCCTCTTTGTGTTTTCATCAAAATCATAGAGATTTTTTACTACTCTCTTCCACATCTCATTTTTCATCATTTCCTATCTTTGTATTATATGTGAAACATGCTTGGCCATTCAAATAGTCAATATTCTAATTCTTTCTCTTACAATTAAGTGTTCTCTTCTTCCCCTCCTTCAACTTTCTTTGTTGTTTTAATTTTCTAATTGTGAGAAAAAGCACAGAATAAAATATGAATGTGAGGAAAATAAGAAGTGAGTATATTTTCTAATTTATATTTCAACAAAAAGTGAGAAAGATATATTACTGAATATCTCTAAAGAAACCATAGTTTAGTATAGGTAATTAGTATTTGAAGTCACAATTAGCTTTTATATGTATTATATCTTTGAAGGAAATCTATATTTCATATGTGGTATTGCTAACAGATAAAGCAGTCTGTGAAATATCAAAATAAAATTACCAAAGCAAGTCACCTATAAACATGAAAAAAATAAAACTAAAAATAATGAAGAAAAATAACAACAATAAACAAAAGCCATGCACTCTCTAGTAGAACAAGAGAGTTGAGTGCATAGTGGTAATAAAAACTTATTATGAAAAAAGTGATTGTAACAAAATAGGTTCAAATTTCAAAGGGAAAGGATAGGGAGAAAAAAATTATGACAGAGAAAGGAATGAATTCATATAAAGTAAGACTTGATGAAGCAGCTCATGTTTAAAAGAAAAAAATTTTTAATCACAAATATTTATTTAATCACACCATCTTGAACTCAACCCAGAACCTCGATTTTATATATTAATAGCATATAGAGAAACATTCTGAGCCATGGAATAGATTTAAATTTTGACATTCTTAAAGAGCAAAGAATAGGTGCAATGTGATCTTTTCATTAAATTACAAGATCAAAACAAAACAAAGTTTAAATGAATTTCCAAATGTGGAAATTGGTACCATTTTAGGGTTGATTTCGCCTAACAGATTATCCATCAATGTATCTGCATATATTTTTATCAGAAATGTATTAAAAGAGACTTTGAATCCAATATTTGATAATGCTGGTAAAATACACTTTAGCTATGGTATCTGCTCTGTAAATACGAAAATACCATTCAACCAGCATTTTCAGGTCACAGGTGCCTCTAACTGTGACTATTCAATTATTATAAAATAAACTTGAGCCAATTCTAAGCTTGTATGTTTTACAGTCTAATTTTCATTAAATTAAATTTTAAAAGATTTTTGCCTCTCGATATTCTAGTTTCATAAAGAGTCACACTAAACACCTATAAGCAAAATAACAAGTACAAAAAAAGAGACATATTCAGGCACTGATTGATTTCTTATCTTCAGAATGAGATTGGCAAAGCCAAGAGCCAATGAATGAATGAGAGAACTATTGCTCTAATATATACTTCAACTATTACCCTTGGAAATGGCAACGAAACTAATAATAGCAAGCAATAACAATAATGAATCTTATTAGTTTTTCATGATGATGATGACGATGATAATGATGATGATGATCATGATTACCCTAGGTTGGAAATAAGATTACAAGAAAGAATATTGTGCAAGATGTTCTCTAAAATTATACATAGAATATGTTCTCTTCCATATGTGCAACATTTCTTTCAGACAATGTACAAGGTAGTAGCTATTCTTTGATGCATAATAACCAGAAAGATAATTCCAACAACTCCCATTAAATTGTGGTTATAGTTACAATGGCAGTGGGTACTAAAAGCAGCATATATACATTCTTTTCTCATATCTGCGATATTATTTATCATCTGTAAATCTGAGAAATCCTCTTGCCCCCAGCCCAGAGAGAAATTATCTAATGTCTGCAAATGAATTAAGCCATTGGATTTTTCAAGGTAAAACCAAGTATGCTTAATTTTTATCCTACAAGTTGGGTTTATATCAAAAGCACCTAATTTTTAAATGCCCTGATGTGTAATAATATTGCTCATTTTATGCCATTACATTTGTTTAAAAATAGTAATCCTATATTTTTAATAAAACTAATGTCAACCATGCAGTTGCCTAATTGTGATAACTTCATAAAACAGCAGGTGGTTTTAGGTCATTGTTGTTCCAAGACACTGTTAGAAATATTGATAAAAGTTTATGTTTCAGTAGCATTAAGCTACTATCTTCCAACAGAACCTGTACTGTGCATGATTATAGCAGTCATTAATATTATGAAACTGTAGTCCATCACCCCCCCCCACACGCGCGCGCACACACACACACACACACACACACACACACACACATCTTCTTTCAAAATAGAGAATGGATAATGAAGAAAGAAAGCTGACTTTAACAGTTTGGGTAATTAATGACTATTGTGCCACCTAATTCTTGGTGAATATTTACCCTATAATTTAAAATCTCTTCTTGTTAAATGCAACCATTTAATGTAATTAATTATGGTTTTCCTCATAATCTTATATGAATTTCCTCCCGCCATCCATCCTCCACTACTGTAAACATCTTTCAAAATGGGATATAATGGGGCTTGTCTGCATTTTTCACACATCAGAGGAGGGCCATCCAGCTTAAAAAGAAATGTTGGACTTTGTTCGGGGTAAATAATGATTCCTTTGTCGAAAAAATGTCTCTAGGGTACCATTTATATGTCAGCCACTTAGTTTTGAGTGCTTATCTCTTCTAGAGCTCACCCCTAAAAGGGCTTATAAACATTTGACACTTGGAGCAGACGAGTAATCAATGAGTAGCCTCAACAGGAGTGTGAGCCTCTTTAAGGTCGTAAATTGAAAGAGAAAAAAAGGAGTGATGCAAATGAGTTAGATGAGAAGTCAGTAAAAATGAATTCAAATCCTGCATTTTGTTTTCAGCTTGTGATCTCAGCACTTTGCTTAACCTATCTGAGTCTCAGTTTCCTCAGTTGTTAAATTAGTGAATGATGAACATGGCCCCTCAACTTTGAAATTATACCACGCTTCCTTTTAATCACTCTTATGCCGTCTCGCCTATGATTCTAATTTAATCCTTTTTCAATTAACAGTGTTTAATATCACACATTTCCAACTAATCTACATTTTTTATTCTTTCCACTACACACCATCTTGCCTGTTGTCCTTTATTTACTTCCCACAGCACTGTTTTCATCATGCCTATAGCAGTGGTTCTTAAAATTCTTGGATTAAAATTTCTCTGATGAAAACCAAAGATTTCCTCCCTAGAAAAATGCATGTGTCCCACAAAGACGTACAATTTTTCTCATGATTTCAGAGTGGTGAGCATGTGCCCCATATAAGAAGGGCAGTTGTTACTTGGCTCTAGCCAATAGTTAGTAGGCAGAAATGTGGACACAGAAACTTTTAAAGTGTTGATCATTTTTAAAAAGGACTCAGAAATCAGGGTTTTTAAAATAGGAAATCTCCTAATTTTAAAATCCTATCAATCATTTTAAAGATGAATACCCCATGTGGATCAACAACCCATTTTTGAGACAAATCTACTCTCTGGAGTCAATAAGCAACTTTAAATCTCTGCTTTAAGGCTTCTAGTGTGTTTCAGTAGATGCCCAAGGAACAACTGTGTTCACTTTGCATTCTGTGATGTATCAGCATAAACAGCAGAAGGCTGCAACTACCTAACCACTTAGCAGATTGGCACTTAGCTCAACCCACTCACTTTACACGTAGGAAAGCTGAAATCTGAAGAATTTAAATACCTTTCCCAAGGTCAGATGGCAAATTGGTAACAAAACTGAAACAATAATCAAAGTTTTTCCCTTCCCAGTATAGTTTATTTTCCCCTGTACCTTATACCCTGCCTCATTTTTCCAGTATGTCCCTGATAGAAAAATTCTATGCCTTTCCCAGAATCATGCTGTACATTAATTTGCCTGTTCATTTATATAACATTTAATATATAATATTAAACTATACATAATTTATAATAAAAGTATATGCAATTTTAGATATAGATATACAGATATAGATATGCACACAATATGAGGCTTTTAACAACATGAGTTCTCTTCACACAATTTGGATTCTTAGTACACATGTGACAATACATCCATCATATTCCCTGTTGTTATGAACAACATCCTTCCCCTTCCTAAGTTCTTTGCCTAAAATATATGGTGACTCTCTCTTGGACACTTTTCAAATCACAGTGCAAGAATGCTAATCTTGACAGCTCCAAAAAGAACACTTAGAACATCCATTCTGATCCTTTCTTTTAGATGCCTTATCATTTTCTACCAGCGGTTTGAATTTGGCTTCTCAAATGCAGACCAGTATGAAAAACATAAGTAGCTAATGGCTGTCAAAAAAATGGAGAAAATAAAAATAGCATGGCAACAAGAAACACTCTTTTTTTTTCCTTTTAAAAAGTACTGATGCATTCAGTATTTTTTAAGCCACAGTTATTGAAACACTACAGGAAAAAAATATCCACATGGGTCCTTTTTATAGTATTGCTCAACAAGAATGAAAATTAAGGAATAGTAGAAATAAAAATGAATATCTTTGTAAGCATTCAATGAAGTTGAATCATTTATAATCTTATTAAATCATATGAATGTTCTCAGACCTGGGGGATCCAGAAACTGTATTCGAATTTTTCTCTTCTCCTCTTAGAAAGCACCAAATCAGAGGATAAAAACTAGAAGCCCCCGGGCCAGATCTGTTCTGAACACACACACACACACACACACACACACATTTGTGTGTATATATATATATATATATATATATATATATATACACAGTTTGTTATTTTTGTTGAGGCTGTTGAAATTGCTAAATTGTCTACTTTAAAAATCAGCAGATACTACATATAAAATGCATTCCGACCTCTCTCAAATAACTGGAAAATCTGGAAGCAGTTAACCAAACCTAAATCACTCCTCTTCCTTTATTATTATTATTATCATCATCATCATCATTATTATTATTTTGAGACAAAGTGTCACTCTGTTGCCCAGGCTATAGTGCAGTGGCATGATCTCGGCTCACTCCAACCTCCGCCTCTCGGGCTCAAGTGATTCTCTTGTCTCAGCCACCCAGGTAGCTGTGATTACAGGCATGGGCAACCACACTTGGCTAAGTTTTTGTATTTAGTTGAGATGGGGTTTCACCATGTTGGCCAGACTGGTCTTGAACTCCTGGCTTCAAGTGATCCGGCTGCCTTGGCCTCCAAAGTGCTGGGATTACAGGCATGAGCCACTGTGCCAGCCATACTCCTCTCTCTTAAATGAAATGCACGCTTTCTCTTCACCACATTCTGCAGCATTCTTGCTTGTGTCTCCAACACTGAGCCCATTTAATAATTGCCTTATAGTTAAGCCTCATGGCTCATTTTATCTTACTGGTCGGGGATATTTTTAAAGATTTACAATTGCAAATCTTTGCTCTAATGAATGTAGTGTATGTTTTACTAAAAAGACAGAAATTGATAGCATCTATACAACTCCAAAGTAATCCATTATTTCAATGTAGAAAAATAAGATTTCACATCAAAATCAAGTGCTTCACGTAATACTTCTTATTTACACAAATTTCCCCATCAATTCAGTTTAAGTGGCAGGGTTGGGAGATAATTCTTCATGGAGCTCTTGTATCTCTGCACATCTGTGAGCAAGAAACTGATTGCCCTTTCGTTTCAGATAATTGTCCCAAAGAAATTTGTATAGTAAACACCTTTGGAAGACAGAGAAAGTATTAATATCCCTCTCAAAACAAAAAATAGACAGGTTTACTGTCCATTATAAAAAACTTGGCAAAGGATATGAACAGACACTTCTCAAAAGAAGACATTTATGCAGCCAAAAGACACATGAAAAAATGCTCATCATCACTGGCCATCAGAGAAATGCAAATCAAAACCACAATGAGATACCATCTCACACCAGTTAGAATGGCGATCATTAAAAAGTCAAGAAACAATAGGTGCTGGAGAGGATGTGGAGAAATAGGAACACTTTTACACTGTTGGTGGGACTGTAAACTAGTTCAACCATTGTGGAAGTCAGTGTGGCGATTCCTCAGGGATCTAGAACTAGAAATACCATTTGACCCAGCAATCCCATTACTGAGTATATACGCAAAGGAATATAAATCATGCTGCTATAAAGACACATGCACACGTATGTTTCTTGTGGCACTATTCACAATAGCAAAGTCTTGGAACCACCCCAAATGTCCGTCAATGACAGACTGGATTAAGAAAATGTGACACATATACACCGTGGAATACTATGCAGCCATAAAAAATGATGAGTTCATGTCCTTCATAGGGACATGGATGAAGCTGGAAACCATCATTCTCAGCAAACTATCGCAAGGACAAAAAACCAAACACCGCATGCTCTCACTCATAGGTGGGAATTGAACAATGAGAACACTTGGACACAGAAAGGGGAACATCACACACTGGAACCTGTTGTGGGGTGGGGGGAGGGGGGAGGGATAGCATTAGGAGATATACGTAATGTAAATGACGAGTTAATGGGTGTAGCACACCAACATGGCACATGTATACATATGCAACAAACCTGCACATTGTGCACATGTACCCTAGAACTTAAAGTATAATAAAAATAAATAAATAAAACTAAAAGCATAAACCACCATCAAAAATAAATACATAAATAAATAAATAAATAAGTAACTTGGATTCTCTCAGGACAGGGTTTCTTTCAGAAAGAAACCCACTTTGTGAGCAGATATCAAACTGGGCCCATCTATACTGCCCTTCCTGTCTTCCGCCAACAACCCCGAAACTGTTGCAGGCTAGCTTGTTACCTTGGACCAGGGTAAAATGTCAGACTCTTCACAGCTCTTGACAAGCTTCCCCAGTCACCAGTTTTTACGAATTGAATAACTTGGAGCTAACGCTAATCTAATCATATCATATGATTTCAAATGCACTAAATCCTTGACTCTTACATCCACATGAGAAAAAATATTTATGAACCTCCTATGCAGGTGTTTGGAATATTGTGGATGAACTGTTCCTGAGCATGATACTGATACTATAGAGGTGGTGTGCTACAGTGATTATGAACACAGCTTCCCAAGGAATCAGACCAGATTTTAAATCCTGGTTCCCTCTGCTTATTACCTGTATGGACTTTGGATTGTTGCTTCACTTTCTTGAGTCTCAGTTTCCTCATCTATGAAATGGGGCAATAATTCCAATAATATAATGCAATTGTAAGTATTACATTCAATGTTTGTGAAATTTATTAGCCATAAGTTGTCTTCAGAAATTAATGTAGTGGGACAACTTGATAAGTTGTTTCTTGCTACCGTAGATTTACTAAAAAGGAATGAAATCAAATGCTCAAATACCTTCTCTCTCTTTCTCTCTCTCTCTCCCTCTTCTGGCTCCCTTTCAACGTTCACGAGAATGTTCGGGCCTATAATTCCAAATGTTCACTGTTTTTATTATCCCTAGAGGGTATTTTTAAAAATTATTCTTGAAATGTCAAGAAGTCGTACCCTAACAGGCCTTTAAACCCATGGCAACAGAACGTATACTTGAGAAAACAAAGACATATGTATTGAAGGATTGACTCTACGTATGCTGGATTTCCTGGGATTTGATACTGTGCATTGAGAATCACTGTGCCATATTCTTAAGATGGCAGAATGTTGGGTGAATATGTGTGTGGGTAACAATGAAGACCAGGCTCTGTATTTCAGCATCTCAGTGCAGGCCCTCGGGTCTATTTGTCCTACAGGAAGTGGTGTACCAGGGGAGTAGCCTACCTTTCAATGACCAGCTGGGCCGGGGAAAAAAAGCAGCTGCCAAAGTGTCAAGTGTAGATTCAAATAAGACCCTTCTCATTCTGCACGTACTGCACAAGGGAGAAGAAAGGGGTCTGTTAGAAAACGGCTACTACTGGACTTCTGGCCAATTTTGGAAGTGGAGTCATCAACTTAGATTTATTTGGATTTGGAAAAAATGTTAAATGCATTGTTTATTTTATGAAGATCATCATAGAGCAATTTAAATCTGTTTAGCTAAGTGGCTGGAAAATAATATGCACTCAATATATTGTAGCTTTTATTGGTATTATTATTCTAATCAAAATAGGCCATTCTTGTTTAAAAATCTCAATTCTGTGGCACATATCTCTTTTCTTCTTAGACAGTTGGAATTACAAATGTTCTAAGGGGTCATCAAGACTAACCTCTTAGCCAAGGTAACAACTATTTGTACAGCACCTCTAACAAATGGTTATGCATCCTCTGCTGGAATATGTTTGTTGACAAGGCCTTCACAATTTATTAAACATCCTTTCTGAAATTCCCATCCACCTGCTTTAAGATTTTTTTTCTGGAATATTTTTCGAAGGTGTTCTCACTTTAGAACACCATATTCCCAGATAAGAATAATTTTCATGAATATATTTTGTCCTAAAGAGTGTTGAACAGTTGAATCTACAAAACAAGAAATAAATAGAAACAATGACTATTAACTTACTCATTAAATTATGTGTACAATATATTGAATGCAATATGTGGGTGTATATCTATTCTTAATATTAAATATCCCTATTTGAGTTTTTAGATATACAGAACTTCGGATTCTTTCTAAGTGTAACTTTGACTGTAAGAATTAAGAAAGTTTAAAGAATTACACAATAGAGTAGAATATAATGTCATTGTGATCTCATGGATCATCTTAGAGGTAAACTAAGGTGTATCTCCACAAGAATTGAGGATAAGTAGTAATGCAACAGGGGAACAGGAAGAAAATATTCTCCTAAAAATTTTTTAAATTAGCTTCTCCAATGTGTTACCTGACTAGAATCTAATTCAAACTGAATTGGGCAGTCGACCTCGGATTAACACATAGGCATGCTGGAAATGAAGTGGTATGGACCACAAAAGGTCACTTCACAAGGGTCCAGGTGACAGATCTCATATACCCTGTGTCCAAACTGTGAAAAGAGCCGTGTTTAAAACTGAGGGAAGCAGAATCATTTGCAATACACTAACTTCATTTGCACAGTATCTGCTGGAACCCTGGGAAGTCATTCTACTGGGGAAAAGCTTAAATTATAGGTAGGGTATTTTTTGTACAATGAACCTGAGTTATTAAAAGTGCTTAACTAATCTTATCAGCCACCTATTGTTAGACAAACTGTAGAATTCATTATAACATTTTCCCACAGATAATTTTCAAGCAATTCAGCCAATGAATTTATTTCAATTCACAAGTATTTATTGAGTCCCTATTTTTTCTCTTGCTGAAACATTACAGTGAATGCATAGCTGAATAAGAGCTACTCCCCCTCTTTTCACACCTTTAAGAAGTTTTCATCTAGTAGAGGAACTTTCAATAGGGGAACAAAATACCTACATTAGAAAGCATAAGAGGAAAAGGGCCATTATCTAAGAAACTATGGGCTCCTTCAGGACAAAGATGGTCTTATACATCCATGTATGCTCTGCTTTAAGCATAGGTCCAACTCATCTATTGAATGAATAATTTAAAAACAGGAGAAAAGAAAGATGGATCAAAGGTGGGTATAAAATGAAAACATGGGAAAAAGGTCTGTAAGTGTGAAAGAGAAAGCAATAATACAGGAAAGTATTTTAGCTGGATTTTTGAAGAATGAAGATTTTGACAGGCAGTTATTGAGGGAAGGTATTTAAGAAACAGAATTCAGCATGAGCAAGCTGATAAATATGGGGAAGAACAAAGCTAAATTCAGTGAAGAACAGGGAGCACCTTTCAAACAAAAGTTTAAGAGCAGCTAGAAAGGTGCCTCTGAGAGGTATCATATAGGGAACTCACCAGGTAGAGGTCCCAGTAGAAAACATTTGCTTCATTTTGGTTTTATTTTTGTCTGACCAGCATTTATCTTATTCTGATGAGAATTCACTGATATGACTAGAAATAGTATTTCATCCCTACATTTATTTAAAATTATTTGAAGTATAACCCGTGTTCAGTATAGTGCCTGTCATAAGATAATAAATTTTTAGGCATGTATAAATATGTGATTACGAACCAGACTAAGATATGTAGAGCCTCAGAAGACCCCCTACACCACTTGCCCATTAGTAATCCATCAAAGAAAATCCTTATTCTCACCTTTTTACCATATGTTACTTTTGTCATTTTTGAGTAACATATAAATGTAATTTTGCGTCTTCAACTCAGCATATGCTTATGATTTTCATTCATGTTGTTGAAGGTAGCAGTAGTTCACTCTGATTTCCTTGCTCTGTGATATTCCATTGTATTAGGTTCATGCAAATGTAGGCATGGTTTTTGTCATTATTTTAAATGGCAAAAATCGTGCTTACTTTTGTACCAACCTAATACAAATATGCCACTGTAGTATATCATGATATAAATATTTATTCACTCCATAGTGGGAGAACATTTTGGTTGTATTCAGTATGGATAAATCAAGCTAAGTAGAGGGTTTTTTAGAAGTAAAATCTTCATATATAGGGCAAACATGTATCACAGTTTAAGTCCCAGCCTATACCTATTTTTCTGTCATAATTATCAATAGTGCCACCTTCAGTTTACTTTTAAAAAACTATATAATTTGTATGATAAATTACATGGTAATCCTATATGTAAAAATCTAATGAAAGAGTTAACAAATGTAGTATTTTCTGAAATGAAAAATCAAGAACAACTATCACCTACTATAACAGCAGTTGCCGAGATCTACAAAATATAATTAGAAGAGCCCCCAAGAATTTCATGCCCTGTGTAGTGATCTTAGGTGATTCATTCTTACTGTGGGTAATGGGCAGTGATTTATTTGAGAATAACGTTAGAATGTCATTATGTAGACTACTAAAATTAATTTCTAAAGATTTTAGGAGAACAATGGAACAAAAATAAAAATTACAGCAAGAGCTATGGAACAATTTCTTATCTAAAAACACCTTTTTGAAGATGTCTCTGGGAAGATCACATTGATATGGACAGGAGATAGGGAAATACTGGGTAGAAGAAGGCTGTTCCCTAGCAAAGGCTCCACCCTCAAGCTTGGAGATCCACGTTCCTAAATGGGGACAGGCATTTCTGTTCTTGCTCCCAAAAAGCTGCCTTTTGGCCTGCCACTCCACCTTATCCTGTACTCATATAAACCCTGAACCCCAGGCTCCAGAAGCAGACAAGCAGATGAGGAGATGAGGAAACAGGCAGATGAACGGCAGAACAACGCAGCAGAGAGAGAGGAAGAGGAACGTCCCAATGCCAAGAGGAGTTCGACTGGGGGTGGTAGGAGAGGGGTTTGGCTGCCGGACGGCCAGGCTCCAGGGGAAGATCATCCTTCCACTCTACCCCACTTTCAGCTCCCCATCTATCCCACTGAGAGCCACCTCCACCACGCAATAAAACCCTGCATTAAAAAGTCAGGAAACAACAGGTGCTGGAGAGGATGTGGAGAAATAGGAACACTTTTACACTGTTGGTGGGACTGTAAACTAGTTCAACCATTGTGGAAGTCAGTGTGGGGATTCCTCAGGGATCTAGAACTAGAAATACCATTTGACCCAGCAATCCCATTACTGAGTATATACCCAAAGGACTATAAATCATGCTGCTATAAAGACACATGCACACGTATGTTTATTGCGGCACTATTCACAATAGCAAAGACTTGGAACCAACCTAAATGTCCAACAACGATAGACTGCATTAAGAAAATGTGGCACATATATACCATGGAATACTATGCAGCCATAAAAAATGAAGAGTTCATGTCCTTTGTAGGGACATGGATGAAACTGGAAACCATCATTCTCAGCAAACTATCACAATGACAAAAAAGCAAACACTGCATGTTCTCACTCATAGGTGGGAATTGAACAATGAGAACACATGGACACAGGAAGGGGAACATCACACTCCGGGGACTGCTGTGGGGTGGGCAGAGGGGGGAGGGATAGCATTAGGAGATATACCTAATGCTAAATGACGAGTTATTGGGTGCAGCACACCAACACGGCACATGTATACATATGTAACAAACCTGCACATTGTGCATATGTACCCTAAAACTTAAAGTATAATAATAATAAAATAAAATAAATAAAAAATAAAAAACTAAAAAAAAAACCCTGCATTCATCCTTCAAGCCCATGTGTGACCCGATACTTCCAGGACTCTGGGCAAGAGTTTGGTATACAGAAAGCTGTCACACCGGCCCTCTGCCCTTGCTAAAAGGTAGAGAGTCCATTGAGCTGGTTAACACTTAAGCAGTCTGTGGATGGTAAGGCTAAAAGAGCATTGTAACACTGGGGCCGCAGGTACTCACCCCTAGACACTCCCAAGGGGCCAGAGCCCAAAGCACTCACCCTGGCTTTTGCACCTGCCTGTCTGCGTGCTCCCCCTCCTGTCAGGAGTTTGAGCAGCAGCAGGGGAGACTGAACAGGCGAGCCACACCCCTGTAGCATGTTCTGTGAGGAGGATCAGGAAATTCTCCTGTTTCAACATGTTTAATTTTATCTTTCTGTGGCCTATTCAGTTCACACACAACACACACACTTCGACAGCAAAACAAAACAAAACAAAACAAAACAAAACAGAATCCACATCACAAAGATTCCCTGAAGTCATCAGCAACATCTACACATTTCCTTTTTTTCCCCTTATAAAACTTTACTTTGAGATATCTCATGACTGGACTTGATCTGGTCATTTTCCTTTTATTCAGTGCATTTATTATTGATGCTTTGTAAAATTATTTATGCTGCTATTTATTTTGTATTCCCAAGGCTTTTAAGTAAAAGGATTTTCCCCTAAGTAACTAAAATTTAACTCCATCTCCATCTCTCCTCTAAGTGCTAATTCAATCAATGATTTCCACATACATTATGCATTTCATTCATCACCAATGAACTGTACATTGAAATACCTGTTTTTAATTTATTTTTGAATATGTTATATATTTTGGACCCAAACTTAAGAGTTGGTGATTTTTACTGTTATACAGAAGTGTCATGGATGTAATTTGTTACCATTAAAATCATCTTACTAAGGATTACTTTTCAAATAGTTTGTGAAATCTAGCCAATACATACCAGAAGGCATGAAAAATTGGCAAATGGTAAAAGCTCGATGGTCTTATTTAACAAGGCTCATTCATAGCAAAAGTATTAAACGGATTTAGTGCCTCAAAGGAGTGCTTGAAAGAGGCCATAGATAAAAGCAAGAAAACTAGCTAGACAGAAAATTATGAATGATGTCTTCCTGTCTTCTGATGAAAGAAAAAAAGAATTTGGAAATGTACCTTAAACCAGCAATAGAGAGGCAAAGATACTTTTTTTAATCCTAATAACAGATTATTGCAAAAGTTGTTTCGTGAATTTATAGAAGTCTAACAAGAAAAGCGGTGTCAAGACTTGCAAAAATAACAACAAAAATTTCTACTCTTGCTTTGTTAGTGAGATCTTCTCTGAAAAGATGTAGCTTCTAAAGGAGAAATTTACCTTTAGCGTATTATGTCAAAATATAATATTTACAGATAAAAATAATATCCCATATTATTTGCTTATACATTTATTACAAAAAGTATTTTGAGATCCTTTTGAGTTATTTATTATTTTGTTGTTTCTGTTGCTCTTTTCTTTCTTGTGACAAAAAATTAACCGTCTTCCTAGAAGATCAAACTAGAAAGAATCCAAACACACAATTTGGTCATTGCCAGATTTCATTGCATCTAGTGATAAAGTTTTCATTCCTTGTAGGATTTTACTAAATAAACAATGTGCCTCTGTTCTGCATTTTGAATTTTGTTAAATGTCATTTTGGCCAGCAGTCTTTTTTTTTTTTTTTTTTTTTTTTTTTTGAGACACAGTCTCACTCTGTCACTCAGGCTGCAGTGCAGTGCAGTGCAGTGCAGTGTCACAATCTCGACTCACAGCAGTTTCTGCCTCCCGGGTTCAAGCGATTCTCCCACCTCAGCCTCCCGAGTAGCTGGGATTACAGACATGCGCCACCACACCTGGCTAATTTTTGTATTTTTAGTAGAGACAGCGTTTCACCATGTTGGCCAGGCTGGTCTCAAACTCCTGACCTCAAGTGATCCACCCTCCTGAGCCTCCCAAAGTGCTGGGATTACAGGTGTGAGTCACCATGCCCAGCACACTCTTTTAAGTTAATCCAATTGGTTAAGCTTCCAACAAAGGATCTTGAAAATGAATGTTAGTCTTCATCTTAAGCCATTCTCTCCAGGAAATACTGCATACAATAATGATCCAAATGCTGAGATTTTATGGGACACATTTGAGGTCTTTCACCAAACGTATATTTGTAGGCCCCATCTCTGTTGAACGAATCAATAATATTTACAGACTTATTGATGGCTACTAAAAAAAATACAAAATTTCAAAGTGTTTTTCATAGGGAATTCCCTGACGTAAGATAAACCAAACTCTAACTCTGTGGAAAGCATGAAAACACTATAGATGGTGTTCATCCATGAATTCTTGACCTCAAACATTCAAATATGTCTTTGGGCATTTCACAGCCCTCTTCTCACGCCCTCTTTGGAAAAGATTCCAGTCATTTCTGATGTTCATTGACCTCATTAGTCAAACATCTCCTGACCAACCTGTGATCAATTTGGATTTCCTCCAAGGAGAATGACTTTTCTTCCTTTAAGAATATCAGGAAATCTCCTCCAAACTTTATACAACATTGCTAGGAAAGCACATATTTAATGATAAACAACATTAAAACAATGACAAACGGAACCTCTACACTGCTGGTAGAAATGGCAAATGAGGCAGCCACTTTGGCAAACAGTCTGGTAGCTCCTCAAAAAGTTAAATATGGAGTTACCATAGGACACAGCAATTCCAACCCAGGTATATACCCAGGAGAAATAAAAGCATGCATTCCCACCAAAATCTTGTACATTAGTGCACCAGTAATTAAAATACCTAAAAATGTAGAAAAAAACCCAAATGTCCTAAAACTGATAGATGAATAAATAAAATGTGGCATATCCATACAATGAAATATTATGTGGCCATAAAAATAAATGAAGTACTGAATGTGCTACAACTGGAATAAACCTTGTAAATATAACGCTAAGTGAAAGAAGTCTGTCAGGGCAGATTACATATTGTATGATTCAATTTGTATGAAATATCAAAATAGGCAAATCTACAGAAACAGAAATTAAATTAGGTACTCTTTAATGGTGGTGGGGCAGAGATGACTAGAGAATGACTGCTAATCAATATGGAGTTTCTTTTTGGAGTGATGAAAATGTTCTAAAATTGACTGTAGGGATGGATGTACAAGTCTGTTAATACACTGAAAACCATTGAATTTTATACTTTAAAATGAGTGAATTGTATAGCCAATGACTTATATCTCAATTAAATTGTTATATTAAAAAAGACAATGTAATGTATCATGAGATAACCGAATATATATGTGTGTGTATCTGTACATATATACATATATACACACTCATATATACACACACACACATATACACATACAGTTGAGCTTTGAACAATGCAGGGATTGGGGTGCTGACCCTCATGCAGCTGAAAATCCACATGTAACTTTTGAGTCCCCCCAAACTTAGCTATTAATAGCCTACTGTTGACTGGGAGCCTTCCCAATAACATAAGCAGTTGATTAACAAATATTTTGTGTGTTATGTGTATTTTATTCTGTATTCTCATTACAAAGTAAGCTAGAGAAAAGAAAATGTTATTAAGAAAATTATAAAGAAGAGAAAATATATTTACTATTCATTCATTGGAAGTGGATTAACATAAAGGTCTTCATCTTTATCATCTTTAGGTCGAGTAGGCTGAAGAGGAGGATGAGGAATTGTTGGTCTTGCTCTCTCAGGGATGGCAGAGGCAGAAGAAAATCCATGAATAAGTGGACCCGCACAATTCAAATCTGTTTTGTTCAAGGGTCATCTATATATATATATGTGTGTATATACATATATATATATGGTCTATATGCCAACAATAACCAGAGTGATTATCCATTTATTTATTCAATAAATATTAGTTAAGCACCTAGGAAAGCAAAAGGAATATATTGAACACTAAAAGTCAATACAAATAATAAGGACATCAATAAGAAAATAAGCTTTAGAAAATGGTAAAGAAGATAAAACCCAAGCAAATCTAACGAAAAAGAAAAAGATATAATGAACCTCAGGTCAATTCTTGGCTCTACTAGTTAATAGCTGAATAACATCAAAGTAGACATTTAGCCTTTCTGAACCAAAGACTATGCTGGCTCAGCTAATTCCCATCTGCATAGAAAAAAAGCTTCAATTGTTCCAACTCATCTTCTATTCTAGAACATTTAGATTGTTAATGATGTTTTTGACAATTGTAGCTTTTAAATTAAAAAAAATTGGAACAATTTTAGAAATGAAATTTAAGCCATTTCATTAAACTGTATGTCCTTTTCTGATCTTTTTCTCTCCAGTTTTATTGAGGTATAATTGATAGATGAATGGATAAAGAAAATGGGATATTTATTCATCTATATCCATATAAAAGACTATTATTCAGTCATACCATAGAAAAGAAGGAAATTCTGCCAGTCGTGACTACATAGGAGAACCTGGAAGACATAATGCTAAGAAAAAATAAGCCAGACACAGAAAGAAAAATACTATATGATCTCATTTATATGTGGAACTAAAAAAGTCTAACTCATAGAAGTAGAAAATAGAATGGTGGTTGCCAAGAGCTGGGGGATTGGACAAAATGGGGAAATATTGGCCAAAGGGTATAATTTTCCAGTTATGCAGGATGAATAAGTTCTGGAGATCTAATGTACAGCATGGTGATTACAGTTAATAATACTATATTGTATACCTGAAATTTTTTTAAAGGATGGATTTTAATTACTATCACCACGAAAAAAGTATGTCCTTTTAAAGACAGGAAAAGAATATATATATATATATATATATATATATATATATATATATATAATTACACTTCTCATACCTGTGCACGTTACAGTGAAAAAAATGAGTACCTATAGCAAAACAAGTTTCTGTGTCAAATTCACAAATTGCATTTCTAATTTTTTGCCTGTTGTGTTAAGCACATTTTTTCTATCCTTATCGGTAATAAATAAAGTGAATTTGTTTTTCTCGAAGTCTGCTTGAATGTTATGGTTCTTATATTTTTTGTCATGCAACTTCATTGTCAACTCACAGAGCAGTTCAGCAACAAAATCAATACTCCTTAATTTTCTGATCGTTGAGTAGAGTCAAGAGAGTACTGCTCTGCAGTTAGACAGACCTAGCCCAAAGCCTGGGTCAGCCTTTCGTTTGCCATGTGATTCTGGGTTACTTTACCTGAGTTTGTCTAGGTTTCAATAGCAAATGCCTTCTCGATATCCATTCTCTGCTTTGGACTTAGATATAAACCTCAATCCATTTGGAACATTAATGTTCCCGATTAATATTCAACTTCCCATAGGTTAATTTTAGTCAGGGGGAAGGAAGAAGCAGCTCCTGAGTAGGGTTTCCAAGAAAGCTCTCAGTAGGGGCAGAGTCACGTGGCTTTCCATTTTGGCCCTTTGCTCTTTCACCTTCTCCCTTTTATTCCTTGTCTAGAATGTAGACACAATGGCTGGAGGAGCATCAGTCATACTGGGTGTGACTAAGGATGTCAAAGTAGAAAGGTCAACAGATTTCTTATGACACCATGTAGCAAATGCATCAACTCTGGACACTATACCTGTAAACCCAATCTCAAGTGATTAAGCCTCTATTTTATAGGTTTTCTGTTGCTTGCAGAATGTGCAGGCAGAGCACAGTCCAGTAATGTTTCCTCTCTGATATTATCTGAAGACAGTGATTGCATTCATCCCTGTGTTTTTTGATTAGCATAAAGTGGGTTTAAATGTTAACAACTATTATTAGCAGGGATTCTGTCATAAACCCTAACAAATAGACACCTCTGAGACACCTAATTTCTGAGGCAAGACATGAATGGGGGACGAATATGTATATGTGAACCCAAATGTAGAGGTATACATACCT
The DNA here is from genome assembly GCF_000001405.40 of Homo sapiens. NCBI lineage: Eukaryota > Metazoa > Chordata > Mammalia > Primates > Hominidae > Homo > Homo sapiens. The sequence goes on along the minus strand of NC_000005.10, from coordinate 163,973,440 downwards.
AAAGCTATTTAGTTTGATAAAATCTGATTGGTTTCTACTTACATCTTCATTCGCCTAGGGAAGGCTTCTATATTACACACTTAACCTTGAAGCTACTGCCATTCTCCCATGGTCTCAAAGAAGTCAATAAGTAATTGATAAAGTTTCTGTCACTGTGGGCAATTAATAGGAGTTACACAGCATCGGTTACATCAATTTTCCTGTGTCTGAGGAGCAAAAAAAAAAAAAAATTGATTTTGCAAACTTACTGGTGCATATTGATTCAATGCCTAACCCTAGGCCATTTCTATTTAACACTTTTGTGCAGTCATTGAGAAAAACCTCAGGACTGTCAAATAAAATATAATTATGTGGACTTTTTATCTATTACTCTGCAAGTATTTTTGGTATCAGTAATGCACTTTCAAGTTGGGAGATGTACTGTCTCTTAAAATGTTTATATATTAAGAAATAAGAATAGGAAATGGCTAAAATCATTATTCACTTAAGTCTGAAATCTCTGATGACACATTTGCAAAGGCACTATAAGTATGTGTTTTTTTGAAAAAGAATAGTAATTGTGTGTTTTATGTATCTCTCATAGGTTTCAATAACTAGCTTGAGATGAAGGGATACAAATATGTTTCCAACACTTTATTTTTGGAGGTACTCTGCCTGCTCATCTTCCTAGCAAGGCCTGAGGTAGGAAGCGGTAGCATTCAAAGAGAAGGAAGGCAACTGAATTTAGCAATAATAAACCTTAAAAGCATATCTAAAATGCCTTTTTTTCAAATAATTCCCTATCAACAAATATGCAGGAACCATCAGTCCAGGTCAGGAATGTTCTGGGTCCTGGGGATAACACAGTGAGCATGACAGATGAGACTCCTGCCCTCATTTAGATTATATTCTAGAGAAGTACAGATTTATGGGAAGGGGGAAGATTGGAAAAATAATAAACAAATAAACAGTATAGTTTCAGATAGTGTTAATGCTGCAAGGAACAATCGAGCAATGGATGAGATAGTAGGTGCTGTGAGTTGGAATTTGCCATCTAAATAGGGTGGTCAAAAAGTCTTTTCAAATGAGGCAAAATTTGAGCTATAACCTGAATGACGAGGAGGTTGTACAAAAACTGGGTAAAGAAAAGTCTGAGAAGAGCATTTTTTCATGTGTCTTTTGGCTGCATAAATGTCTTCCTTTGAGAAGTGTCTGTTCATATCCTTCACCCACTTGTTGATGGGGTTGTTTTTTTCTTGTAAATTTGTTGGAGTTCATTGTAGATTCTGGATATTAGCCCTTTGTCAGATGAGTAGGTTGCAAAAATTTTCTCCCACTCTGTAGGTTGCCTGTTCACTCTGATGGTAGTTTCTTTTGCCCTGCAGAAGCTCTTTAGTTGAATTAGATCCCATTTGTCAATTTTGGCCTTTGTTGCCATGCTTTTGGTGTTTTAGGCATGAAGTCCTTTCCCATGCCTATGTCCTAAATGGTATTGCCTAGGTTTTCTTCTAGGGTTTCTATGGTTTTAGGTCTAACATTTAAGTCTTTAATCCATCTTGAATTAATTTTTGTATAAGGTGTAAGGAAGTGATCCAGTTTCAACTTTCTACATATGGCTAGCCAGTTTTCCCAGCACCATTTATTAAATAGGGAATCCTTTCCCCGTTGCTTGTTTTTGTCAGGTTTGTCAAAGATCAGATGGTTGTAGATATGCGGCATTATTTCCGAGGCCTCTGTTGGTCTATATCTCTGTTTTGGTACCAGTACCATGCTGTTTTGGTTACTGTAGCCTTGTAGTATAGTTTGAAGTCAGGTAGCATGATGCCTTCAGCTTTGTTCTTTTGGCTTAGGATTGACTTGGCAATGTGGGCTCTTTTTTGGTTCCATATGAACTTTAAAGTAGTTTTTTCCAATTCTGTGAAGAAAGTCATTGGTAGCTTGATGGGGATAGCCTTGAATCTATAAATTACCTTGGGCAGTATGGCCATTTTCATGATATTGATTCTTCCTACCCATGAGCATGGAATGTTCTTCCATTTGTTTGTATCCTCTTTTATTTCACTGAGCAGTGGTCACTGGCCATCAGAGAAATGCAAATCAAAACCACAATGAGATACCATCTCACACCAGTTAGAATGGTGATCATTAAAAACTCAGGAAACAACAGGTGCTGGAGAGGATGTAGAGAAATAGGAAAACTTTTACACGGTTGGTGGGACTGTAAACTAGTTCAACCATTGTGGAAGTCAGTGTGGCAATTCCCCAGGGATCTGGAACTAGAAATACCGTTTGACCCAGCAATCCCATTACTGGGTATAAACCCAAAGGATTATAAATCATGCTGCTATAAAGACACATGCACACATATGTTTACTGTGGCACTATTCACAATAGCAAAGACTTGGAACCAAGCCAAATGTCCAACAATGATAGACTGGATTAAGAAAATATGGCGCATATACATCATGGAATACTATGCAGCCATAAAAAATGATGAGTTCATGTCCTTTGTAGGGACATGGATGAAGCTGGAAACCATCATTCTCAGCAAACTATCGCAAGGACAAAAAACCAAACACCGCATGTTCTCAGTCATAGGTGGGAATTGAACAGTGAGAACACATGGATACAGGAAGGGGAACATCACACACCAGGGCCTGTTGTCGAGTGGGGAGAGCGGGGAGGGATAGCATTTGGAGATATACCTAATGTTAAATGACGAGTTAATGGGTGCAGCACACCAACATGGCACATGTATACATATGTAACAAACCTGCACGTTGTGCACGTGTACCCTAAAACTTAAAGTATAATAAAAAAAAATTCCCCAACATAAAAAAAAGAACGGTCTGAGAAGAAAGAACAGCTTGTGCAAAGACCCTAAGGCAGGGAAAAGCTTGAGTTGTTCATGAACCAGATAGAAAAGATAGTGGCTGGAGTGAGCAAGGAGTGAATGGTGGAGGGTGAGGTGAGATCTGTCAACAGAAGCCAGATCATAAAAATATTTGTACTTAACAGACAACACTGAAATGGCGTGGATTTTATTTTATGTGACATAAGTTGCCATTGCAGGGCTTTAGGCATGAGAATTTCTGAACAAAGGTCACGTTTTGTTTCTTCGATCTCAATGTCTCTAATTAATCCTATGTTTGATAGGAATTAATTTAGTTATAAAAATATAAAGAACGTAATTGCTTGACATAATTCCTCAAAATTTAAATTTTTTGATACTTTTCTTTAAAATAGTGGTTCTCAGATGGGGGCAATTTTGCCTCCCCAGTGACATCTGGCAGTATCTGGAGACATTTTTGGTTAACCCAATTGCATGGTTCTACTGGCATCTAGTGGGTATAGACCAGGGATGCTTTCAAACAATGCACAGCTACCACCATAAAAATATCTTACTTACCCCAACTTTTAATAGCACCAAGGTTGAGAAATCCTGCTTATTATAAATGAACTCACGCAATAGAATTTGAAGGATGCTGACAACATTTTTGTTTAATATATAAGAAATGATTTGTATTTCACTTGATGCTGGTCTTGTTATTTACTGAATGTTCCAATACCTCCCCTATAAACAAATACATAAATATATAAATAGAAATAGAACAGAAGCCAAACAATTCATTCCTGATGCTACAGACTAAAATGTCCTCCTAAAATTCATATGTTGAAGTCCTAACCCCCAATGTGACTATAGCTGGAGATAGGGTCTTTAGGAGGAAACTAAAGTTAAAAGAGATCATAAGTATGGGACTCTGATCTGATAGGACTATAGCCATATAAGAAGAGGAAGAGAGAGAGAGAATGAAATCACTCTCTCTCTCTCCCCATCAAATGAGAATGCAGTGACAAAGTGGCCATCTGCAAGCCAGGAGGAGAGCCCTCAGCAGAAACTGAACCCCTCTGGGCTTTGATCTCAGACTTTCCAGCCTCCAGAGCTGTGAGAAAATAAAAATTCCAGTGGAAAACCACCAGGACTATGGTATTTTGTTAGGGCAGTCCAAGAAGAATAACACACTTGAATATGAGCTTTCCAGACAGTGATCAACACAGAGGGAAAAGGGAGAACTTCGGGAATTAACACTAACCCCTGTGATTTACTTCAAAGTCATAGTGACTCTCAACTCAATGGTTATCAAAACTATTAAATTCAATTGGATGGACAATCAAGAAATGTATTTCCGAACTTTGCCCTGGGGTAGAAAATCTACAGTGTTCCAACAACCTTATTACCAACAGCACCCTCCTGAAATCAGTTATCCAGTAGATGACTAGGGAAATACTCAAACATATGGCTGTATTAAATAAAGTAGCAGTTATGCTATGTATATTTCCATTTTAGAACAACCACATTTATAGTGTGAGATTTATTCTCTAATTGAAATTTATCATCATTTCATCCTGAGACATTTTTCCTGAAGACGTGAAAGTATTTTATGTTTCAGCAATTGCAATTTTATTCTTCATAATTAATAACACAATTGCTGTGTATTTCTTATTTTATATGCATTACAGGAGTTTTGACAGTTGGAAGAATTTGCAAAATGTATTATGTTGTGTTGCTTAATACCTTATTAGGGAAACTGACTTGTCTCCAAGGCAGTTCCGTTTGCTACATTACAATGAGACAGTAAGTTACTTTGACAGGGAAACAGGAAAAGGAAGGCTATACTTATAAATATAAATAAGAGCCCAGACAAAAGAGAATTTTAAATTATTCCATAACTTACATGATGATTAAGAATCCTGATCATCATAAACATAAAACTCAAATACAAGGTGATTTTCTTTTTCCTCTGATATCTTTATGAACGCAATCAAGAATTTGATACAGTCTTTGCTAGCCAATATTATAAACACTGATAATGTTTATGAATACATATGTCTCATTTCCATTTTTAGCATTTACATATCCCTAAAAACAAATGCCCTGCAATTCTGCTCAACTTACATATTTTTAAGAGTCTACCAGAACCTGTTCTCTTCTGCAAGAATAACAAAACAAGCTTATTTCATGATTATGTGTAATTATTCTTGTGTAAAATATTTATAAAATTGATGTACTATGTGACTATCTTCTTCAACATGCAATCTAAGAACATAAGGAGGGTGAGGGCAGTAAGATGTTGCTCAAGATGGAGATTTGTTATTAAATTGAAAGATTAGAAAAGCAAATAATTTTCATGCCAAGAGAAACAAAACTTTCTACTTTCCTGATAAATTGTTACAGTTTTAAAGTTAATCAATTTTATTTTGTGAGTGTCCCATGCAATATTTATTTAACCATCTTTACCTTGAAAAAGTATCTTTCCTTTCTGCTTTTCCTCTTCTCTCAAAAAGAATAGAAAGAAAGAAAAAAAGAGAAAGAAAGAGAGTGAGTAGGGGAGAAGGAGGATGAGGAGGTGAAGGAAAAAAAGAAAAGTAGGAGAAAGTAGAGGAAAGAAAAGAAAGGGAAAAACTTGGAACATAGGAAGAGCTTGGGCAGTTTAGAACGCATTAAAACACACAAACCACACACACATACACACACACACACACACACACACACACACACAGAACTAGGTTTCAGGTTTTTTCAAGAGCAAGGGAAAAAAATAGGGAATCATAAAGTCAAATTGCAATAACGACCATTACACCATATTGTTTGTCAATTTTCACAGCCCCTTAAAACAAAGATTATATTAGTCATAATCAGACTTGTGCCCTTCTGGGCCAATCTGCTTGGGCAACTGATAAACCAGGCCTGAGCACTCAGCTTCAGGTAGTTTGGAAAGTATAGTAAGATCTGGGAGCATACCCATAGCTGCTTTTGAATGTCTTACACTGCTGCACAATATGTCATTTTTTAAAGATAAAGAAATAATACCTTCCAGCAATCATCTTTCATCAGTCATTTGGGGCTCAGTAGAAATTAGGTTCAAGTTGCCAGGGCCTGGTGTGAATGTTCCTTTGTAAACATACCTGGGCTTCATGCTGCTTAGCTATGTGGCTACTTGCATGATTTATAGCCTCAACGCTTGGCCCAGGATCCTAGAAAATCTATGCCCAACTCTACATTTCATCCTTTCACTTGGCTGAACATTCACTTTAAAGAGATAATCTTAATGATTTTATGTTTCCACTTTCTTTAAATTGCTTTTTTGTTTAAACAAATATTTAGTGAAAAACAAATGACTTTATTCTCCTCTCTATATTTTGAACCTTACTCTTCTTTCCTTAATCCCCAAATCAGGCAAAAAGAAAAAAAAATCATTTCTTTATGTCACATGTTGCTTCTTTTAATCACAGCTTAATTTTTTATCTTCATAGTATGGCGTCCCTTAGCAAACAATGTGTGTCTTTGTATTGAAAATTATATTTCTCGTAACATCCCATGTAATCAAATAATTTGTTCTTTTTATAAGTAAAATACTAGAGGCCATTGCCAAACCATTAAGAATTAAAAGAGGAAGTTAGCCAGTTGCAGTGGCTCACACCTGCAATTTCAGCACTTTGGGAGCTGAGGTGGGCAAATCACTTGAGAACAGGAGTTCAAGACCAGCCCAGGCAACATGGCAAAGCCTCGTCTCTACAAAAATACAAAAAAAAAAAAAAAAAAAAGAAAGCCAGGTGTGGTGACATTTGCCTGCAGTTCCAGCTACCTGGGAGGCTGAGGCCAGAGGATCGATTGAGCCCTGGAGGTCAAGTCTGAAGTGAGCTAAGAGGACACCAATGCATTCCAGCCTGGGCAACAGAGTGAGACTTTGTCTCATAATAAAATAAAATAAAAATAAAGGAGGAAGTTGCAATTTTGTAGGACAAATACATCTAGAGATCTAAAGAACAACACGAGGAATATAGTTAATAATATTATACTGTATATTGAAAATTTTCTAAGAAAGTAGGTTTTAGGCGCACTTACTATATGCAAAAAAGATAACTCTGTGAGAAGACAATTACATGAATTGGCTTGATTACAGTAATCATTTCACTATGTATCTGCAAATAAAAACATCACGTTGCATCCCTTACATATAACAATAAAAAAGAACTAGAGGAGGAGCTCCAAAAATGTATCCATAAAGTAAAATATGTTTAAAATGTAGGTACTGCTAAAATGTACATATATATTATATATATCAAATACATATAACATGTAATTATGCATATTATTACATATAATAAACATGTAATTATATATTAAATACATATAATATGTATTATATATTAATTGCATTATTGATTATCTTGATTATTATACAATTCCAAGTGTGGTGAGGAATACTGGCAAAATTATGACATATCATGACAGCTTTCACCTACCATCCAATTTGTAGTCAATGCCATTGCACGGCCTCTGCCCCTCTCACCTTAAAGGAAATGTTCTGGTGCTTATTATTGCTTTAATTGCATCTTAAGAAACCACCTGAGAAAACGTTGAATAAGTCAAATGAATGTACCTCTACTGGCAGAACTCCTGGTATTCCCAAGATGACAGTAAAAAAGATATAGTAATCAATAAGAACTCCACATCTTCTCAACTAAACTATATGATTTGAACATCCATTTACTCCATCAACAAATGTAATGCTGAATTGAGTTATCCAAAGATATTTATACATTACAGACTCTTGTTCTTTTACACTCTTAATGAGACAGGTAAAATAAATTACTATTATGCAGCTATCAATATAGAAACACCCATTTTGTAGGTTGCCTGTTCACTCTGACGGTAGTTTCTTTTGCTGTGCAGAAGCTCTTTAGTTTAATTAGATCCCATTTGTCAATTTTGTCTTTTGTTGCTATTGCTTTTGGTGTTTTGGACAAGAAGTCCTTGCCCATGCCTATGTCCTGAATGGTAAGGCCTAGGTTTTCTTCTAGGGTTTTTATGGTTTTAGGTCTAACGTTTAAGTCTTTAATCCATCTTGAATTGATTTTTGTATAAGGTGTAAGGAAGGGATCCAGTTTCAGCTTTCTACATATGGCTAGCCAGTTTTCCCAGCACCATTTATTAAATAGGGAATCCTTTCCCCATTGCTTGTTTTTCTCAGGTTTGTCAATGTGCACATGTACCCTAAAACTTAAAGTATAAAAAAAAATATATATATATATATATAAAAACACCCATGAGTAACTATGAATATGAATTGATAGAAGAAAATGAAGTCCATTATTCCTTTAATCTTAATTTTTTCTTAAGATATAAAAAGTTGCTAAACCACCTTAAAGATAAATATAATATGCAATAAGATACAAACTGTGACACTTTCTCTACTTATCTGCCACCATGATATCTTTTATGAAGATAGAAGCAAAAATAGCAGCATTGGCAAAATCAAGTTCCCTAAAACACCATCCCTGAAAAAAAAAAAAAAGCTTTCTCATTATTCTTTTTCCAGGGAATAAAAATATCACCATTGTGTCATGTTTCTGCAGGACTGCAAGTAAGTGGCAAATCCAGTTCTAACAGCACAACTCCGTTTCAAAACAACTGCTCATTTCGCATCCTTCTGAACAAAGAATGGCACATGATATGATTTCTTTCCACTTCACCTGCTTGTCCCTTTGAAGAGTTGCGTTTGACATTCTGTGACAAATCACCTTCCTTAAGGCTCTTAAGTCACATATCACCTATTGCAGACAAGATTTAAGTCCTGTGCAAGAGTTATCACTCTACCAAGCCAAAAATGTGCTTTCCAGGAATCCTCACAGCCTTCCTGAAACCTGAGCCCTGTGCAGCTGGCTTCCTGGAAGGCCTTTAAAATAGACAGAAAATAACTTTGTTTCCCCATCTCACAAAAGAACTCACTATAGTCTGTAAACTAGATTCATAGGAATTTTCTCATGTGGGGAAAATACATATTAAAATATGGATTTACTATATGCTAATTGTTTTCCTTTGTAGAAAATGAATTAAGATTAGTTAAAATTATAGAATCCTAACACTATTTTTGGATAATCAATGTGAAATAAAAAAATCAAGGCAAATATATACTTTGAGAAAATAGAGATATATCAGACATCTTTTTTGCATACACATGCTGGTGGAAATGAAAGAAGTGCTAGAATCTAAACTTTTTTCTCTACTTGCAAATATGGAAGTAGAGAAAAACTAGCAAGTATACAAGCAGTCAGTGATATAAATATAGCCTTTCTATATTTATAGGTTTTTGTTGCTATATTTCTAAGGTTTTTGTTCATATTTTTAACAACTTCCCTCATATTCTTCACAGTATGTGGGGCAACTGACCCGGTGCCTAAACAATTTCCATGAAAGTATCCAATAATCAGTCTAGCGGTTTCTCGGCAACATACCACAGATGGCTTACGCAATTTTGTGGGTTTAGAAAAATGAGCCAACTGAATATTTTAGGTACAAATAGATATTCACAAAGAAAGCCAACAAGGTCTTTAGAAACAACAAATAGAAGTTTCTGCCTAGAGTTCGTTGACCCCGCCCTCTAAGTAGGCAAGCCTAAGAAAACATTTGTATGTACGAGAGTTCCTGGTTTCTGCACGCTTCTCACACGTACTACCTGGCTTGATCATCTGTTATCACTTTCCCAAACCAATCTCTTCCTTATTTTTATGTGGAAAAGAGGCAATCCCTAAGAAAATATACAAAAATGAGGTGTTGTATGGGTGCAGTAAGCATGTAACGGATGACTTATGGCAACCATCTGAAATGAAGCAATTTTGCATTTTCTAAGTCCATTTACTATACCCCTGCTAAACTCTGGAGACATTGCCAAGACCCTAAATGTTTAACTGTGTCTGGAAGACACTATGAGATGAACTTTTTATAAAGTAATAAGTTTCCCTGGGCGTATCTCTTGCTTCCAGGTAACCATAGCTATGATGGTCATTAATATAGTTTGATGGAAATGCCCTGAATGTCTTGGTTGCAATTAAAATAAATAAGAGGATGCCAGGGGTTACGTATAACCCTCCTTACCCTCTAGGGTAAACCAATATCAAGCTTTGCCTGAAGTACTTTTCATTATATGTACCTCAGTCTTTGGAAGGATAATTATGTAGAATAAAGATGGTTTTTAAAAAAGCAACTAGTATTGGCAAAATATCAAGATTCCTCATATATTTAATAGTAGACAGACTTAGCTACATTAAAGTAATAAAATGTTATTTTAATAATATCCTAGCTGGTTGTCTTACCTCTGAGAACTTCACTATATTATTATTAAATTAATCTTCCTAATGCTTAGGATATACCACCTCCTCCTTGAAATCCTTTAACGCATCCTTACTAGACACTAAATAGATTCCAATATTCTTTCCTAGAATTGGAGATGTGACAAGTCTACCCTACAGACCTGTCTAACTTTAACTCCCACTGCTACAAGGGATAAATCCTCTCAGTCAAATTCTTCTACATATTGATGCAAGAACAAGATGTCAACATTCCCTTAGGAACTTTGCTCACACCATTCTTTCTGCCTGTTCACTCCTCTCTTCTGCATTGAGAAGGGTCACCCTTTCTTCAAGCCTTCCACAGATGGTGTCAGAATTTGGTGATGCTAATAATATGAGCTTTTCAATACACAGAGCTATTCTTCTTATTATCTACCAATTGTGCTTAGAATGCCTTGACTGTATCAGAATTTTCATTCTCATTATGAAGACATCAAATTCACAAAAATCATTTCATTCATTCAGTCCACATATATTTATCAAGTGCCTATAATGTGGAAACAGTGTTTAACAGAGGCTGACATGGGCCTTATCCTTATAAAGGGATTTCTGGGAGATGGATGAGGGCAAAAACTAAACTATGAGGCATGTATTGTAACGATTCAGTTTCAAAAACGGACAAAGCGAAGCTCAGGAAAGAGAAGTAACTTATCTAACTCTACACATTAAGCACAGTTGAACGTCACTTTCCAATTTATTCATGTGCTCTTACTCCTTTGTCTAACTCGATTATCTAAATTTTTATGGTATGTATGCATGCAACTTTCATTCAACACTGACTATATTTTGATTTGCATTGAAATTTAAATTATATGTGCATACTTCCTTCCCAAATAAAGTATTAAAACAGATATATAGACCAATAGAACATAACAGAGGCCCCAGAAATAACACCACACATATACAACCATCTGATCTTTGACAAACCTGACAAAAACAAAAAATGGGGAATGGATTCCCTATTTAATAAATCTTGTTGGGAAAACTGGCGAGCCATATGCAGAAAACTGAAACTGGACCCCTTCCTTACACCTTACACAAAAATTAACTCAAGATGGATTAAAGACTTCAATGTAAGACCTAAAACCATAAAAACCCTAGAAGAAAACCTAGGCAATACCATTCAGGACATAGGCATGGGCAAAGAATTCATGACCAAAATACCAAAAGCAATGGCAACAAAGGCCAAAATTGACAAATGGGATCTAATGAAAGTAAAGAGCTTCTGCACAGCAAAGGGAACTATCAGAGTGAACAGGCAACCTACAGAATGGGAGAAAATTTTTGCAATCTATCCATCTGACAAAGGGCTAATATCTAGAATCTACAAGGAACTTAAACAAATCTGCAAGAAAAAAACAAACAACCCCATCAAAAAATGGACAAAGGATATGAACAGACACTTGTCAAAAGAAGACATTTATGTAACCAACAGACACATGAAAAAATGCTCATCATCACTGGCCATCAGAGAAATGCAAATCAAAACCACAATGAGATATCATCTCACACCAGTTAGAATGGCGATCATTAAAAAGTGAGGAAACAACAGGTGCTGGAGAGGATGTGGAGAAATAGGAACACTTTTACACTGTTGGTGGGACTGTAAACTAGTTCAACCATTGCGGAAGACAGTGTGGCAATTCCTCAGGGATCTAGAACTAGAAATACCGTTTGACCCAGCAATCCCATTACTGGGTATATACCCAAAGGACTATAAATCATGCTGCTATAAAGACACACGCACACGTATGTTTACTGCAGCACTGTTCACAATAGCAAAGACTTGGAACCAATCCAAATGTCCATCAGTGATAGATTGGATAAAGAAAAGCCATCAGTGATAGATTGGATAAAGAAAAGCCATAAAAAAGGATGAGATCATGTCTTTGCAGGGACATGGATGAAGCTGGAAACCATCATTCTCAGTAAACTAACACAAGAACAGAAAACCAAACGCCGCATGTTCTCACAAATAAGTGGGAGCTGAACAATGAGAACACATGGACACAGGGAGGGGAACATCACACACTGGGGCCTGTTGGGGGGTGGGGGCTAGGGGAGGGATAGCATTAGGAGAAACACCCAATGTAGATGACTGGTTGATGGGTGTAGCAAACCACCATGGCACGTGTATACCTATGTAACAAACCAGCACGTTCTGCACATGTATCCCAGAACGTAGAGTATAATAATAATTAAAAAAAATCTTGCCTGAATCAATTATCATCACATCAATGGACAAATGGTAATTTTCTAACTTTGTTTTATTTACTGCTCTATCTCTAGAATGGGGAACAAAGGAGGCAACCATCAAACATTTGCTGCAAAACTGGATGAATACTTTCCTTATCTGCCATAGTTTTTAAGTAGCAAACTAGCCCATTCTTGTATCACAAAGGGGAGTAGTATACCATGGAATTTAATCAGCCATGTGTGGTAACCTAGAGATAATCTTCTAGCAGGGAGCCATCAGTGATATGGAAATCGCTTTTTGTTTTAGAACATACATGTTACGTGGATTATCATCATCACCCTTGAAAAAAAGTATTTATTTCTCAGCATTCACCAAAGCAGTAGCAAAAGGTTTTAATGAGCTTGTAAAAGACAACCAAACTCAATGTAATTGTCAGATCTGTAAGAGTATTAACTTGTTGCTTAAAGTTTTTGCTTATTTAAAAAAATAGGTAATTTCTTAACTATTCAAACAACGGTTTACACCAAATAGTTCCCTACTGAAAAGTTGTGAGGACTACATTTCTGAGTTAAAATGACCTAGCACACTTATTTCTAGCTAGCGCCCTGATCAAATTCACAAAGAACAGACACAATAGGCCTAGACTCTGATTTCTTGTTGCTTATACTGACAACTGTCTCCATTCTGCCACCTAGACTCACTTTATAGATAAAAGAAAAACATTTTTCTTTTTCATTTTCTTTCTCCTAGTTGCCCTTTTTCTCTCATTTTTTTATTTTTGAATTCTTTTAGGGAGTGGAGTTTTCTATATTCAATCTACGGTGCTCTATATTTTCATCAATTTTGGTTCAACGATACACAAATCTGTAAACTAATAACTGCAGCCTGTCAGAAGGTATTTCTATAAGGCAGAAACGCCTAGGGTTCATTTTTATGGGATGTATCGTAATGAATTTTTTAGCATATATATTTTCATTGTTAACATCAAAGTCTATGATTTTCATAAGCATTTTTGGGGATGGCATATCTACAGGTGAAATTTTGATGACATTCTTTATTATGTTCTTAGCAATTGTAGAACTCAATTATTTCAAATCTGTTCAATTAATGTTCGATTGCTTTTTCACGCTAGTCAGCCAGTCTTTTAAGCTCTTTGCAGAAATAATAGGAGCTTAAACCACATAATTCTTGGTGTTTGAGGAGGGGGGATGCTTTGAAAGGCTCAATTCTCTAAGCAAAGTATTTCTGAAAACTGTTTTCATTTTCTTGATGATAATCCATCAATTTCTACAGTCTTTAAAATAATATAAAGCCATTAAGCCATGGGGTTTCAAGCCTTACTTACCACTGGAAGTGAGCTTAAGTCCTGTTTGGAAGACTGTAAAAACATTTTTACAAAGAAAAATTAATAACCTCAAGCATTTGGATAAGGGCAAAATAATCCACATGCTCTAATGTTTTGCTTTGCTTGGAAAGCCTTCAAAATGCCAAAAAAGGAAACAATAAGTATCCCAAAGATACATTGAAAGAAAAATTCTAGAAATAAAATCTTTTCCCTTGATTAACTTATATATTCATTTACAGTAAAAATAATTTCCAAAGAATCAGATTCAGCATGGACTGTCTGAGCACAGGATTCCAGAGAAAACTTCTTGATTTGATAATTATAGGAGCAGAAGCTACAAAATATACACTATGATAATCTTATTAAGATATTTCAACTAAAGTTTGAGGGAAGTAATAATCACAAAGCTTCTAGAATAGAGGCAGAAGTCAGCAAACTACAGTCCTGGATCAAATTCAGCTGGGGGCCTGCTATGGAATGATGTATACATTTTTAAAGGGTTGAAAAAGGAAAGAGGGAGGGAAGGAAGGAAGGAGAAAGGAGGGAGAAAGAAAGGAGGCATGGAGGAAGAGAAGAAGGAAGGGAGAGAAAGTAGGGGACATGGGCAACAGATCCTGTATGTAGCCAGCAAAACCTAAAATATCTTATTTGTATTTTACAGAAAAAAAAATTGCTTGTCTATATTTTGAAGCATAGTCTGAAATTCAAACTTAGAATTTCTTTTTCCTTTATCAGGAAAAAAGCAAACTAGTACATAGAGAACTAGAACCAAAGTACTACAAATACCACAAAAAGTATCCAGGAATATGCATGAAATACAGTGATGTGTGGGAGCTGGCTTATATTAGCTTGCAAGAACCCATGATTAAATTTTCAGAAATTTTGTGAGTTAGTTGGTAAACCATTGATAGTTTGAATTTGAAGTCAGTCATTTGCAGGAGTTTTGACACTATGGAAATTAGCAAGCACTACACATAGGGCTTTAGGGATTTTATTTGTTTGACAGCATACCAGTAACTTCATGTATTCTTTACCTGAATTTTATAATCTTACTTTATAGTAAGATTTCTGTGAAAAAATCTTGGCACTGAAGTTATCCTGCTCAACCCTCTATATATTCCCAACGAAGTGGCTGTTTGCCCTTTTGTGTACATTTCTTTTTACTGTGAACTTGATTTTTGCGAGGTAGCCCATTCAATGTGGGATTTGTGTAACAACCACCATGGACTTTTCTTTGTATAGTATAGTTGATTGCCAGCCATCCTGCTACCAAATAAAAATCCTAGAAAAAATATAACAAACAGTCATTTAAAATCATACCCATATGTATTTATTTTGTGTATGCCTTTGGGTCTCCTAAGGAACAAAAACTAAAAGAAAACTGGAAACTAGAGGCCCTGGTTTAGGAAATGATTCTATAGAAGCTGTTTGGAGTATTATTGTTCTCATAACCAAAGGGCTTAGGATTTAAAGGTCCTGAGATTACAGAAGAGAATATAGAAACTAAAAGTATAAAACTCCTAGAAGAAAATACAGAAAATATCTTCATAACCTTGAGATATGCAAAGATTTCTTATAAAGAACACAGAACACTCCATAAAAATAATTGATAAATTGGACTTCACCAAAATAAAATCAAACCAACACACAAGTTTTTAGATGAAGGCAGGAAACTTGAGTGATTATTAAATCAGTAAAAGGCTATTAAATGAGTAAACATATAACAACTGGTACAAGCAGATGAGAAGAAAACTTAAGGTTGGACTATGATTGAAAAAAAAAGTCGTTGCTATGAATTTATAGACCTGGGATTCAGGTTTAAACTACTTGCTCAATGTGGACACTTCTGAATTTTAAAAAATAACATTAAAAGGGCAGTGATAATCATTATAGGATTTGACAGTAGCAAGTGCAAACCTCCTTTGAATATAAATTATCACAGATAAAGGACTTCTAAAGAAAAGCCCACAAAACACAAAGCTGCAGAATACTCGAGGAAACAACAGACCGTGAAGAAAGCCAGCAGACCCAGCACACAGAACTTCAGACAATAAAGCTATCGGATGAAGCACGCTTGAAATGATTATATTAATATCAATGGAAGCTGAGGACTTCCAATAAAAAGGACATATCAAAAAAATTATTAAAAGATTGAAAATTGAGAAATAATCAAGTAAAACATGTAGAAAGACAAAATCACTGAAGAGAGGTTTAGCAAACTGTATATGTGAAGAAATTATCCGGGAGTGAGCACGCATAAATAGATCGGACACTTGCAAGAGAAGCCAAAAGACACTGAGGATATAATGAGAAGGACTAAGGTATCTTTGATAGAAAACACTAAAGAAGAGAACCCAAAACTGGGGGGAGGTGATGTATTGAAGATTACCGCAAGAGTCCTCAAACTCAGGAAACACAGAGAAAGAATCGGAAGACAAGTAAAATAAAACCCATACCTGGATATAGTGAATATAATGAGAAAGAATCGGTTTTAAAAGTAGCCAAGAAAATGAAACAGGTTACCTTAAAAAAAAAAACAATTGTACCTTTAATATTTTTAAGTAGCAAAAATGGAGTCTACAATACCCTGGAATAAAATTAAGGCATTAAAAGTAATTATGGAATCACTACCTAACTAAGCTATTATTCCAGTGTGAGAAATAATATAAAAGAAATTTTAGTTAAGAATAAATGAGACAGAGAGAGGACATTTGTTATAAGAACTACCAACAGATATACTTCATGGAAGAAATTAATCTCAGAAGGAAGGAAGGAGTAACAGGAAGGAGCAGTGAGAAATGAAAGCAGTGTATGAATTGCTAAGTCTAAAGAAGCATTGAATATAGGTTTTAGTGTACCAGGGCTGCCATAACAAAATAGCACAGATTGGGTGGCTTAAACAACAGACATTTATTTCTCATAGTTCTGGAGTCTGAAAGTCCAAGATCAAGGTGTCAGCAGGGCTGGTTTCTGATGAGGCCTCTCTCCTTGGCTTGTAGATGGAGGTCTTCTCCTTGTAACCTGACAGGGTCTTTTCCCTGTGCATGCACATCCCTGGTGTCTCTTCCTATTTATTTATTTATTGAGATGGAGTATCTCTCTTGTCGCCCAGGCTGGAGTGCAGTGGTGCGATCTCTGCTCACTGCAACCTCCACCTCCTGGGTTCAAGCGATTCTCCTGCCTCAGCCTCCTGAGTAGCTGGGATTACAGGCATGCGCCACCACACCTGACTAATTTTTGTATTTTTAGTAGAGATGGGGTTTCACCATGTTGGTCAGGCTGGTCTCGAACTCCTGACCTCGTGATCCGCCCGCCTCGGCCTCCCAAAGTGCTGGGATTACAGGAGTGAGCCATCGTGCCTGGCCCTCTTCCTCTTATATAGATACCAGTCCCATTACATTACAGCCCCACCCCATGACCTCATTTAACCTTAATTACCATAATTATGTAGCTCCAAATAGAGTCATATTGGGGGTTAGGGCTTCAACATATGAGTTTGTAGCAGGCATAATTTAGTACATAACACTATATAAGATAATGCTAGGAGTAGTTTTCAATGAGAAGAAAAAAATAAGGTAAAATTAGAATACTATAAAACAATTAACAGGTAAAGGTATTCATCTTTATATTCTCAGAAGAAGGAAGAGAAGTAAATTAACTTTAGATTTATGGCAAATATACATGTTAAATTTTTTAAATATATTGAATATGCAACATTCAAACAGGCGAGAGGAAGGAAAAGTAAAAAAGAAAACTTGCCCAATCTAAGAAAATAAAGATAAATAGAATCATAGCGAAAAGAATACATTTACATTTACCCTATACATTCTAGATGAAATATAAAAATATCTTTACTAATTATTTTTCAAGAAAGTAAGGAACATTCAGGGAAAAACTGAAAAAAAGTAGCTCAGACAGATAAGCAGAACACTAATGCTCATTTTTGCCCCGAAGGCCTTTGCTGAAAGAAGGGAAATTAAGCTTTGTCTTTTATGGCTTCCAGAGGCTCAGAGAACAGAAGAATACAAGCTACCTGGTTGGTACAAATGTAATTCCGGTTTCTGCCATGAATAGTAATGTAACCGCAATTACTTTTGCACCTCCCTAATAGTATGCGTGTAAGGAATGAAATATGAAATCATAATTTTGCAGCTCTAATATAAATTGATTCAGATAAGGTTCATCAAGCTCACCAGGTGAAACATTGCCGGGGAACAGAATATTTCCATTTTGCCAAAGTATCATCCTACAGATAATTTGTTAATTAAAAAATAAAGTAAAACAAAATGGGCTTTAACAAATGTGAAATATAGTGGTCACTACTTTAACCAAATGACCAAAGCAAGCATCACTAATAGTGAGACAATCTAAGTGTCTTCTGATGAGGGCAACATGAGGTACATAATATCACCTGTGAAGTATTCTCCCCAAAAATTGTGGCCATGATCTAACTAAGCCTTCAGATTTATCTTCCAGTTTACTATTAAGACAGGTTGAAGAAAAACAAGTTCACACCACGGGAACACGGTGAGACAATACAGAATGGAGACTTGCATGACGGCTGCCCAGCTCTCTTCACAAGTCAGTATCATTTAAAAGAAGAAGAAAAGTATAGGAACCATTCCAGATTAAATGAAACTAAAGAGAAAATTTAAATATGGACTGTATCTCAATAACATTAGAGAATCACTGCTAGTTTTCTTAGATGTATGAGAATGTGTATATTTTTGGATTATGTATACTACAATATTTAGGGGCAAAATGGTTTGATGTCTGCAACATACGTGCAAACGGTTCAGCACAGATAAATAAAAGAGCAGATAAAGTAAATGTGGCAAAATGTTAACAATTGTTAGGAGTACAGGTGTTAGTGTCACACTCATCTGGTTTCAAGTTCTAGTTTCACCCCTTTCTAGTCATATGATCTTCAAATTTTTTTAAATTTCTGGGAGTATTTCATTTCTTCATATTTAAAATGAGGTATAGGATGATATCTGGTTCACAGAATTGTTGTAAGAATGAAATCAGAAAGTTATTATTAAAGCACTTGAGATGGTACTAGCATGATAACTTTAGCTATAATTATCATTACTATCATCACTAATAAGAAACTAACTTTTGTTATTCTACACACTGTCCTAAGTTCCACATTAGGTGTTAATTAAGTTATTTGGTCATATGTCAGCAATAGAATCAAAATGACTGTTTATAGAAAAGCGGAAAGAAAAATAAACTTGCATACTTCAAATTCTATTATCCAACATGACAATGGAGTCTGGTCCTCTAATTTTAGTTATGGATTACCATACCTACTCTCTTAGATTATAACTTTTCAAAATTTTGTTAGAATATCATGCACTGATGATTCAGAAGGCACTCAAAATCTTGCCATACATAGTATCATGGAAAGTAATATCATTATACTGCATTGCATAAATCATATAGATGGCATGCAGTTCTAGCAAACATATGTAGATGGAATGAGACGGAAAGGGAAAGAAAAAAGAAGGAAGCCATAGAAATCATGAAGATAAAATCATTTATTCTGTCTGAAAACCGAGCAAAACTGAAGAAACCAATTTCAGACGATACTCAGACACACTACAAAGAAGCACAATAAAATTATACAAGCGAAACAAAGGTCAAGGGAGTGGAAAAATGTATAAGCAAGCACGCGGTTTATATTCGCCAACTCAGAAAAGGAGAGGAAAATACTTGACCCGGGCTGTGATGTTCACATTATTAATAATAATTTTAAAAATTATTTTATCTTGTACAGAAATGAGGAGATACCAAAAAGCATTGTTAAAGACATTAATTGCAGGCAATTTTATCAAGGAGAAACAAATAGCTAACTTACATAAACCCTAATTTATTGACACACATTTTGAATGTTTAAGTTACCAGTACTTAGCCAAGACCCGTGATAAAGTTGGATCTCCCAAAACCATGGAAATCAAGGAATATCTATTGAGCTTCTATTATTTGCCAGCAACTGGGCACAAAGGATGTAATAGTGAACAAATTCAGGGAAAGTCCATTCCCTTGAAGAGCTCAAAGTTTAGTAGGGGAAGAGGGAAAATAAATTTTAAAATATTTTAAAATATATCATCTCTTTATTAGTACCTTGTACTATAAGGAAAAATAAAGCAAAATAGTTAGGCTAGACAGTGACAAGTGATGCCCTGTTTAAGAGAGGGTGGTCAGGGAAGGCCACTCAGATTAGGAAACTTTTGAGTTGAGCTGTGTGTATTACATTATGTAAAAGTAAAAACATAAATGTATATACATGTATGTGTATCCATGCAACAAAGCAGTATTCAGTCATACTAAAGAATGAAGCAGTGATCCACGGTACAACAAGGATGGACACGGAAAACATGCTAAGTGGGAAAAGCTAGACAAAAGGTTACATATTATATAATTCCATTTATATTAAATATCCAAAATAGATAAATGTATACAGATAGAACACACATTGGTGGTTGCCAGGTGTTGAGCAAAAGGATATATGAGGAGAAACTAAAAAAAAATTAAATGGGACTGGGCGCGGTGGCTCATGCCTGTAATCCCAGCACTTTGGGAGGCCGAGGTGGGCAGATCACTTGAGTTTGGGAGTTCGAGACAAGCCTGATTAACACAGAGAAACCCTGTCTCTACTAAAAATACAAAAAAATTAGCCGGGTGTGGTGGTGCATGCTTGTAATCCCAGCTACTTGGGAGGCTGAGGCAGGAGAATCGCTTTGCAGTGAACTGAGATCGTGCCATTGCACTCCAGCCTGGGCAACAAGAGTGAAACTCCGTCCCAAAAAACAAAACAAACAAACAAACAAAAAATTAAATGGATGAATGAAAGAATTGCTAAGTTTGGTAACATAAGAAATATTGAAGCAAGAAAGATTAACAGGCTTTCTAATACCAAGCCTTTCATTCTGTATTCTAATTCCTCCTGAGAAAATATAGCTTTCCAGGAAATACAGCACTTGGAAATAAGTTACCATCTGGTCTTTGTCACATCTATTATATATATCCCTTTCTGTATATTTTTGCTAGCCTCACAACATCATAACTGAAGTAAATAAACTTTGTTTTTCTTGTCTCCTGTCTCCATGTGTTGAAATCCCTCCCGAATACTATTATTTTGGTATATTAGGTACCTATTTTTATTTATCCTCCATGTGAAAAATAATTGGGGGTTACATTTGAACGGGATTTAAGAATAACATTTTGAGGTTTCCACAATCAATACCAGCATTTCACAGATGAAGAAACAGACTCAGGTTGTTAGGTCACTGGATCAAGTTCTCAGAGCGAGTAAGTGGCAGAGGAGGAACTCAAATAAATGTTTGCTGGCTCCTGGAGCAATCATGTCTAGTGAGGAAATTCTACCCAGTTCAGTATGGCCCACTTCCTGGCTCTTCCAGAAAGTGCTGCCTTACTTCCTCCCTCAGTGCTTTTCCCCATGAGATGCCCCTTGCCTGGAGTACCTCTGGACCACCAGTGAACTCACCCATGGTCCGGATGCAGCCTCTCAGCCTTTCCCGAGCACCGCCTGCATGGGTCTCTCTCTGTGCAATCTGCCCTGAGGCTTCCCCATTGGGAATGGGCTTTGACTATTCCCCCACATCCTTCTCTGGTTTGCTTTGAAGTGTTGATCTTTATGTGTGGCTGTGATGGAAAACATGACGAGGGACTCAGACAGGGTCTCAAACTCAGGAGACAGTCTCTTCTTTACACAAACTAGACCACGTTGGGGGGCTTTAGAGAAAAGAAATAGAAACAAGCTCAGCTATTAGGGCTAGCATTTCCCTTCTAGACCAATGGTTCAGAAGCTCAGGCAGGGCAAAGGTATTGGACAGGAGCCAGGAAGAGCCATGGCACTCCCTCTCTTGCCCCCCAGGGCTGGCAGGGGCAAATCAGAAGCCTCCAGGAAGGCTTTTCACCACACCAATCATGGGGGCCTCTCAAGAAACCTCTTTCTTCGATGGCTTTTACTTTTTTGAAATCATATTTGTCAGCAGCTGCTACATTTAGCCCTTCAATGCCTTTGTTCCAGTGTCCGTAGATGGAGATGAGAAAATATTAGGTGTCATTTTGGCTTCAGCGGGGCTCAGTAAGAGTCCAGGACAAGCCCCAGAAACCCTGTACCCTCGGGAAAGCTGCAGGTCCCACCTGTGTTGCAGGAGCTGAGGGTATCTCTGAAGGAAATCTGTCAGGGCCCCAGTAAAGTCATGAAGATCACAGGGTAGGAGCTTCAATTAGGGAAAATGGAGACCTTCCATTTCTTCCAACAGGTGTTTAGTTCTTTCCCCTCTTCATTCCATTTATTTCCCACTCAGTGTACTCACGTTTTTCCTCACACTGACTCAGTTTTCCCTAGGGCATTGTGTAGCTGCACTGTGTCTGTTCTCACCATGAAGGACTGGTGATCTCTGTTTTTGCAAAGAGGTCAAAGAGGTCGTCCAGCCGGAAACTGGACAGACTCCATGGGGAGGGCCCTTCCTTCCAGAAGGAATCCTTCCAGTGGAGTGACATAATTGTCAAGGTCATAGTTTGATTCTAGGTCAGCACCCCAGCTGTTAGGATCCTTAAACGACTACTCTGATCCTCAGCTTTACCCCATCCCAGCTTCTATCACACCAATACCCACAAAAATACGCCCTCCATGCAGAAAAGCTCACACAGCTTGTCACTGTGAATTTACAGAACACCAAAACCCGCACTTTCAGGCAAATGTCCCCATCACTGAAACACCTCACAGATGACCTGTCTTGTGGTGAGAAAGAGGTGAGGAGACCTGACCCAAGCCTGGAATTAGTTTTCATGTTCCTACCTTTAAATTCACTTCCTATCCTGTGGCTGAAAGATACTTGAATATGTGAAGAAATATCTGGCCCAAGCCTGTAAATATGTCCTTCCCCTTCCAGTTTTGCTATAATCCTTCCTTTGAAACACTCATCCCTCTGGTATCCTTCCCATTGGAGAAAAGAAAAACAGAAAAAAGAAACTGTTTTAATTATTTCATGTCCCACTCTCAACCCACCTAGGTCCATCATGTTCAAGGTCACCACACACACAGGAGCAGTTATGTTCCACTCACACAGAGCTGTTTGCATCCTGTCTGGGCTTGAGATTAGGGAGGAGGGTTATATAAATGATGAGATAGGGAGGAGGGCTTGAGATAGGGAGGAGGGTTATATAAATGATGAACATTTTCATTTGAGGTACAGAAAGGAACACACACACACACACTCACATGCACATGCACACACACACACATGCACACACACACGCACATGCACACACACATGCACACGCACATGCACATGCACCCATACAGACCTGGAAGTGCTGTGTTACCTTCAATTCTCAAGCATGCATAAGGAGAGAAGGGGAAGGGGTGAGCTGCTGTCCATTTCATTAGGACTAAATGAAGACGTGAGGGCAGTGTCCATCTCCCCAGCCTTCATCAGGAAGGGAAAAGTCTGGGTGAAGGTAATAGCTCTGACCAAGAGACTGAGGGATATAGATTTCTCCCCACCCTTCTAAACTCAGAGCCTAGCTACCACAGGCTTCAAATCTCAAATTAGTGATGTGTGAAGTTTCTTGTCTTTTATTCTACATGGGGGATTTCTGCCCTCTTAGGCCCACGTAGCTTCATGGACCCTACAGCTGTATGGAATTCAGCAGGATGAGGGAGGAAGGAGAAAGACTGCTTGAGC
Organism: Homo sapiens; assembly: GCF_000001405.40. Classification (NCBI taxonomy): domain Eukaryota; kingdom Metazoa; phylum Chordata; class Mammalia; order Primates; family Hominidae; genus Homo; species Homo sapiens. Next base: position 163,950,003 of record NC_000005.10, on the reverse strand, counting down.
CAGGACCAGAGCTTGGGACTTAAATGATTTTTCTTAGTTTCATGGGTCCTTGGAGATTTTACGGTAATTTTTAAATTATTTTTTTCAATGATAAAATCAAGAAAAAGTGTATTTTAAATATAGAATACATGAATCGATAAAAATGAAATAAGGTTGATGGTAGTGTATATGGAGTACCACTGTCAACTTCCCTCCATGAACAAGAACTCTTAAAGGCCAAAACAGGCACATACTAAGAGCTGCACTGACGCTACCCCATTATATAAGCACAAGCTACTGAGATACCCTGAATCTTGACCCCAAGAGCTGCAGGAGAGGATATCACATCCCCATGTATCTACACACACATATATTTACTTAAAGAAAAAAATATTTGGAGTAGGAAAAAGTGAGATCATCCTCTTCAAAGAATATGTGACATGGAAATGCATAAAGGTGGACCTTAGGACTCCCTCAGGAGATGAACTCCACAATACAGAGCAGAGAGCAGTGGCTATGGCAGCCTGTGGGACCTGATCCCATGGCACCTGCTGATAGGTCCTGATGAAAGACATGGGCTCACTGGGAGGGATGGAAGGAGGACACGTTGGACACAGTTGCTGGGAGCCTCACACTGGCCTTGTGGGTTTCAGGGATACTCGCAGACTTTTCCCTTTTCTCCTTGGAACAATACACTTTAACAAGTGGCTCATCCTCACTTGGCATTCACCTTTTATAGGAGCCTGTCCCTGCTGGGCAAGAACTGGGACATCAGGGTCTCCGTTGATCCCCTGCCTGGGCAGGGTGGGTCAACATCTCTTTGGCAAGAAAAGTCACTAACTCTACTTCTTCTTGGTGCTCTCCCGAGTGGCGCCACTCAGGGCCCTTTGTTTTTTCTAAAATTGGGTTAAAGGCAGTGCCCTGGTTCTGATCCATGGGACCTGAGCCTTCAGGGCCCTTTGCTGCTTCCTTCCCGAGTCACTCGCTCCAGCCTCAAAGTAGACATAGTGACCCTGAGAAGGGGCTGTATCTCCTCTTCACACACTCTGGGCACATGCAGTGGCCCTTGGAAGACAAATTTTCTGAGTCAGGAGCCCATCGGAGCTCTTCCTCCAACTGGAGCTTTGGCCCTCTACCAAGATGGTCTTTCAGACTTGAGTTTTTTAAATCTTGCTCTGCCAAAAGGTGCGGTGGTGTGTGTCATTCCTCAGTGCCTGGTGCCCCCAGAATGCTCAATTCTCCACCTACAATTGGGAACTTCCATGAACAGTGGCTCTCAGGGGGGTCTTGATATGGCTTGGGAGCAGTGGACTCTCCATGAACTGTTACACTGCTCTGATTTGTCCTCACTGTCCTGGAAGGTATGGGGGCTGGGGTGTCCTGCCCAATGCCGAGTAATGGTAAGTTGTTCACAGAATGCACCTCATAGCCCTGCTCGGTTGTTCTGGACATAATCCTTTCTCTTCTCCAACCACATCTGGGTATGCAGCCTCCTTATCGCTCAAATCCAGGTGCTCCTGATCAACAGGATGAAGGATAAACACACGTCTAACCACCACATGACAGGCTGCAGCTTAATCTCAGAGAGAGGCCAGCAAGTGATAAAAAGAAACACACTCTACACGGAGAACACAGTGTGAGAAGGAGGAGAGACAAACCCCTGCCCGATCCCTGCCTCCAGGAGAAGGCTGTGAAGGGCAGACATGAGTCTTCCCGGCCTGCGAATATGGGGGCAGAAGAGGGCACCCACAGGAACTCTGGAGATGAGCTCCCTGGGACAGTTCCATAGAAAGGGAAGGGACCAGGCTGAGTCAGCAGGAAGGTGGTTGGTTCCGTGGGGGCAGTGGAGGGTCTGCTGGTGGAGGGTGATTCTGTGGATCTGAGGGTGATGAGTGATTCTGGGCGAGGGCATGGGGTCAGGTGAGGACATCTTTCCCTTGTCTGCCCTGGACCCTGAAGGACTCAGAGACTGAAACCCAGTTCTCATGCTCTTCTCCTTAGACAAACCTCAGCCCATCGTTATTCTTGACTAATGCAACTTTCTACCCGAAACTCATGCAACTCTGTGTTTCCTGTTACTCTTTTCAAGAAAGTCAAAATCATTTATTTATTGTCCCTTTTTGGAAAACTCAAACAAGTGCTTCTTGTGCATGATCTTCTATTGAGATTCTGGTCAGTGTTCCTCTGCCGAGGACAGTTGCGGAATGTCTAGCCCACAGGCGTGTGCGTGCTTCACCAGGTAGGACTCTGTTCCCTGAAGACAGAGCTCAGATTTTAGCATCTCATCAGAGGCTTTCAGAAACTTGACTTTGCTCTTCAGATCAGCCCTGAAACAGGGGCTGGGCCCAGAGACACCCGACATATGACGGGATGATGAATAATTACTGTGTGACTCTGTGCCCCCAGACAAATCCTACACTCTCTTAATCCGTTCCAAGAACACAAAGTCACCGTGTTTGAAATTTTACCCTGGAGCCCTCTACCAACCCCAGATTAGTCTATGAGCTTGGACTGAAGCCTTCTGCTGCTCATCCTGTTTTCTTAAAGGAAAATGTTCTAATTTTTCCTGAGAGAGCTCATCTCAAAGGTCTGTGAAAAGAGAAGTGATTCAGGAAAGTGGGAAGAGGAACAGAGAACACAAGAGTCCCTCTGTGTGCTGGAGTGGTTGGATCTGGCATCTCTTAACTGATTTCTGTCTCTTTCCCAAATGGATTCATCTGGAGGAAGTACAGAAAAAGAAGGAAGAGCTACGCAGCACACAGTAAGAATAAAACAAATAAAATGGCCTATGGAGGGTGAGCTCAAGCCGCAGGAGGTGGAGATCCATCCCTGTCTTCCACGGCACACTCCAGCCTCAAGCAGCACTGGGCCCTGGACACTGAGCCTAGAAGGTCTGGTCCAGAGATCCCAGTAGCATCACTAATCCAGGGGACAGTTGTGAAGAACCCTCAGGATAGTGGAGGAGCAAGGAGGGGAAAGTGAACCTATTGCCCATCCTTTACCATCCAGGCTCACAGCAAGGCCTGGGCTACAAAATCCCTTCACCCTACCCTGGCCTTGCTCTTTTCCAACCCTGAATTTACAATGTATCTGTAATTTCGTAACCGTTCCACATATCCAGACAAGAACCGGGTCCAGCTTTATTTGAAATCTCTACTTCTACGCCCTGAATGTTTGAAGTTTTCCGTTTTTTTGTTTGTTTGTTTGTTTTTGGTCTTTTTTTTTTTTTTTTTTTTTTTTGGCTCTTTTCCAGGGCTCTACACTTTCAGAATTTCCACTGTCTCAACTCCAGGTTGCCCATATTATCTAGCCTTGTCTTGTATCAAGTTAAACATATAGTTCAGCTCCCCTCTTTGAGTTTGCTTAAATGAATCCACTTTCACAGACACACACACAAAAAACATGAGTGAGTCATGGGGTCTCTATTAAGGATACTCTAAGGATGACAAAGTGGGAGAGAGATGCTAGCATGCCCCATGGTAAATAATTTAATAATGATAAAAATTTAATAACCTAAAATTAGTAATTTTGTCTACAAAACTCTCCCTATCCCCAAAATTTCTCCCTCTCATCCCAGGCTGTGCCTTATCTTGTTGGTCCATTTATTCAGGTCTCCCCGACCAATATAATTTCAGCCATAATTGGAGAGAGAGTAATTCAGTGCTCCCAAGTCCTGCCCCAACCTGCCAAACCAAATCCATCTGGCCGTGGGGCTCAGGTGAGGCCTTCTCTTTAAGAGCAGTGGGAGTTCTACAGTGCAACGTATTTGCTTTTTAGTGTTAATACCTGTGATTACTTAGTCTGTGAAGGGTTTACTGATTTTGACTTTCTACTTCCTAAATTTCCACCCAAATTCCTATTTGCTTTTCAATAATATTTTTAAATATGAGATTTTTATATACACATATTAAAGCAATATACCAGATTTATCTTTCCATTTCAGCAACGGTATACCAGAGCTGTAATCCTGACTGCTTTATTATTTAGATCGTGAACTGCGGAAATCAAGTACTGTATCATTTTGTTACTTTGATATCCTTAATCTCTAATTCTAACAAGGAAGCCTTGGCTCAGGACACCCAGATCAATCCATATAGAAAAAAATATTTATGCAGCCATATGAAGAAGATACTTGAAAAATAAGGGTTAGGAGAGAAAACTAGCCCTTGCTAGAGAAAATGTAATAGAAAGCATAAATCCACATAAAGTATAAGTATAAAGTATAAAGCTATACTTCAAGCATTTTGACAACAGTACAGGGGTAGACAGAAAGATAAATGAAATCGAGTCCAGAGATTAATTTAAAGTTTTGTCATGAGGTGTTTCAAATAGTTAGTGGAGATTTTTTCAGTTAATGATTTCTGTTGAGGCTAACTGGTAGCTGAGAAGAAATGATTTCTAGAATGATGGAAAATGGAGGCTGAGATCTTTGCTCAGAAACAGCCGGGTGCTGACCTCACTTTTCTCCCCTAGGTGACAATATGGCCCTGTGGATATACAGCTTACACAGTGGAACAGGATGTTTCTGTATATTTTCACAAATAAAAATGCCTGGAAGTGTGTATGTGTGTGTGTTTCTTCTTCTGGAGAGATCATAAAAGCAGAAAGTAAAAAAGGGCTGTGGATTGATAATAACTAAGTATTCCTGATCTAGCTGATCCTACTGTTAAGAAAAATAAATCACTCCCAGATGTTTGACATCATTCAAGATGTAAAGACTAAGGGAAGCTACTGTGAGAAGCACTATGTTACTTTCTGTCTTGGTGGCCAGCTCTTTTTGGAAAATATTGTGTGGGGATTTTGTGTATGTGCTGTCTCTAGTCATTAATCTGTGCTCGTTCCTAAAAGCTGCAGAATCTATCTATAGATAAGTACTTTAGTTCTCAACTTCATTCCTTCCATAAAATAAATATGAGTAAAATCAAAGTTTTAAATATAAAGAAAGAAAATCTTTAAAATGTCAGAGACCTTTTCCTTAATATTGTCAGTGCTGGGAAGCTTTCATAAATATGGCTCATAAACCACTGAAAATACTGATTGAAAAACTCAAGTACATGAATGTGAACAGATTTGTGAAACTATTGATTACCCTGGGGATGAAAATATTCTCCTGAGAGCTATGGTGATAGTTTCCATTTAAATTGAGAATGGCAACTAGCCATTCTCAATTTAAAAACACTTCATTTGTATCTTTACTGGTAAATTAACTGAGTTAACACATGCATATTCAGTGACTGGAACTATCCCATCATTTAAATATTACTGTATAAATTACAGGTGGTTATTGGTAGACACTCAGAAATCAAATTATTGTTTGGTACAAGCTTTAAAGAAACATTTCACCTTATTTAGTAGCCATCTTTTTATCAAAAACTGAGTGATCAATTCCCTGTTCCCTATTCCCTGTTCCCTATATAGTCCCTCTGCTGGAAAAGGAATCATAAATGAATAGTAGTTCAGTAAGTAAGGTAAAGGAATGGGGTGTGGATTTATGTTTTTTTAATCTTCTTATATAAATTAACATTTCTAACTTTATAAGTATATATTGCTTTTACTTTTTAATTGAAGGTATGCTAAAAGTGGCTTTTGGGCAAGGATATTATATAATCCTATAATACCTCCCATATTTTTTTAAGTTTATTTTTTTTTCAGACAGGGTCTAGCTGTGTCATGTAGACTGGAGTAGAGTGGCACAATAACATCTCACTGCAGCCTTGATCTCCTGGACTCAATAAATCCTCCCACTTCAGCCTCCTAAGTAGCTGGAACTAGAGGTGTGCACCACCATATCCAGCTGATTTTTTAAATTTTTGTAGAGATGGAGTCGGACTATGTTTCCCAGGCTGGTCTTGAACTCCTGGGTTCATGTGATCCTTCCAACTAGGCCTCCAAAGGTGCTGGGATTATAGGCATGAGCCACTGTGCGCAGCCTAAGTTTTTTTTCCTTTAATTGTTCATTTTAGTTGTGATAAAAACACATAACATAAAATTTATTATCGTAATCATTTAAAAACATATATTTAATTTGTGGTATGTCCATATTGTTGCATAACAGATATCTGGAACTTTTTCATTTTGTAAACCTGAAACTCTATACCTACTGAGCAACTCCCAGTTTCCTCTTCTCTCTGGCGATCACCAGTCTACTTTCTGTTTCTATGAGTTGGACTATTCCAGACACCTCATAGAAGTGGACTCATACAGTATTTGTCTTTTAGTGACTGCCTTATTTTGCTTAGTATAGTGCCCTCAACATTCATTTATGTTGTAGCATGACAAGATTTCCTTCCTTTTTAAGTCTGAGTAATATTCCATTGTATGTGCATATTACATTTATTTAAACATTCATCTCCTAGGGAACACTTGGGTTGCTTCCACTTCTTGGCTAAGCTTCCACTTCTTGGCTAATTTGAATAATGCTGCAATGGACATGGTGTGCAAGTAGCTCTCTGAGAGCCTGTTTTCAGTTATTTTGTATACATACCCAGAAGTGGGATTACTAGATCAGATTCTATTTAAATATTTTAAGGAACCTCAGTACTGTTTTCATAGCAGCTATACAATTTTACATTCCCACCAGCAGTGGACAGGGGCTTTAATTTCCCCTCATCCTTGCTAACATTTGCTATTTTCTTTTTTTAAATAGTAGCTATCCTAAGGAATGTAAAGTGACATCCCATTGTAATTTTGATTTGCATTTCTCTAATGATTAGCGTCCAGTCAATTAAAAAATGTTCATTCCAACCGGGCACTGTGGCTCACATCCATAATCCCAGCACTTTAAGAGGCTTAGGTAAGTGGATCGCTTGAACCCAAGAGTTCAAGGCCAGCCTGGGCAACACAGGCAGGTCCTGTTCTTTAAAAAAAAAAAAAAAAAAAAAA